>NC_000001.11:236790182-236941697 GCF_000001405.40 Homo sapiens | reverse complement strand
AGGGAGGAACTTCCAGCATCCAGCGTGGGTCCCTAGGGTGAGGTGCCTGGTGCCAAAGAAGTAACCCCCAGCAAGAGTGAGGGACTGAGGAAAAAGAAGGGAGGGGCTATGGCAGGATCTCTGTTCTGTTCATTAGCTCTTTGTTTTGTGGTTGCTTGGTGTTTTTGTCCTTTCCTTTTGTTCTGAAGTAACCTTGGAGTCCTGGGAGTCAGGACTAGACCAAGGTTCCAATCCAAAGCAACTGATTAAATATCTTCATTTCTTTATCTGTGAAATACCACCCATTTTGTTCCCCTCAATTGATTTGAAAGTTCAGTATTTGATTTCTCTTCTTTTCATGGATATCTTTGTAGAATCATTTTTTATCTATATGCACATGTGAAATTGCTGATATCAGACCATTTTTTAATTTACAAAAATGGTAAGTTGATATGGTTCAGCTTGATATAGTTTCTCCTAATGCAAGCCAGGAACTCTAACACACTTTTTATCTCCCTCAGATACACACTTTCCAATACCCACTTCCTCCAGCTTTACCTGTATATCTGTAATATATACATATTATGTGACATTTTCTGCAAATTTAGGTTCACATTTGTAATAAAAGCCTTTTTTAAACAAAGAATATATTTTGCTTACTTTTTCTTACTATTATACCTTGTATAACACTTCTTGCTCTGGGATTCTTGTATCCTCTAACTGGAACACATTCTTTGGTTATTTTTCAGGTAGAGTCTATATACGAGAATATCTTCTAAAGATCTTATATGACTGAAAATGTCTTTACTTCATCCCCACTCTTAAATGTTCATTCGGCTAGATATAGAATTGCATTCACATTTTTTTTCTCAGAACTTGAAAAGCATTCCTCCTGCCTGTTCTGACTTCCAGCTTTGCCAATGAAGGATCTGTTGCTATTGCAAAGTTGTATTTTCTGTTTCCAAGATAACCAAATGGTCTATTTTCAAAGCCACATGTTCTTGTTTCATAACCACCTATTCTTACTTTATGGATATAACACCCTCCTTTATTTCTTTGTGAATTTTAAGTTTGCTTTGCAACAATCCTGTTCTGATCATTCCATTAACTTTGTGCCCTCAGGTGTAAGTTCAGTTTGTTATCTCCTTTTGTGGGGCTTATTTTTTTCAAGCATCTGGTGATTCAAAGTTGCATTCTAATCCCTGTGGTCAAGGCCCTTCAGTTCTTCAGGAGAGGGAGAGCTTGTTCACCACTGCCCCCACCTGCTCCAATGTTAGCAGTAGTAGCGGAAGGACAGTCTGGACCACTGGATAAGGTACACAGGTGCCTCCATGTTCACCGTGGTGTTGCTATTCACCTGGGGCTCTGTTCTCTCCATCCCAGGCTCCCACACTTACCGTTCATATTTAGAGACAAGGACCCTGATTGTCACTGCTTAGCCTGGGGAAGAGAATGGAAGAGAAGACAGTGGGCAAAGCTGTGGAGTAATTCCCTGGGGCCTGAGCTGTGTTCACCTCAAGGGCAGATGTTCAGACTATGGGTCTCATTGTGCCAGAGCTGAGCACTGGACCACAGGCCCCAGGCTCCCAGATGTCCTCTGATCAATGTGTGTGTGTGTACATGTGTGTGTAAGAGATGCAAGCTTTCTAAAGTACAGGCCTGGCACCTGAGGCTTCCTTTTCTTTTCTCCTGGAGATGTCTCAAGTTTCCAAGTCACCTAAGTTCTCCTTCTTGTTTTGAGGTGCAAATACATATTTTTCAAAATATATTTTCTATCATTTCTATGGATTCAGTGTGGACAGGAAGATAGTGCAGCTTGTGCCTAGGGATTATTGTGAGATGCTTCAACAAACTGTGAAGGTGAGAATTAATGAGCACATGATACAAGGCCTGACATACATCATGACAGCCATTATTGAGAGCTTTTGGTGTTCACTATGCTAATCCTATTTCAACATGGCTTCCAGTCTACACCGGGGATATAGTTATCTCCATCCCTAGAGCTACTTCTCGGGTAAAAGAGTCATTTCTTTAACAGATCCAAGCCCAGCTTCATCACCTATCACTGCAGGAAGAACGTTATTATTCTCCTTCCATGGTTCATTAGAAAACAGGTGCCGTACTGAGTCTGAGCTCCTGCATTTCATCACTCATTGGCCTCTGTACTGGCTGCCATGTTAATTTAATCTTAGCTGGTAAAAGGCTTAGGAGAGAGAGGGGAGCTTACAGCATACAGCTGTGGGGAAGAGCCGTCTAGAATCTCAAACTTTCCATGGCTCCTTGTAGGGAAGCACATTTTGTTCTGAAATGTGCTGCATACATTTGGCTCTTCGCTTGAAGGAAAATGTTCTGGGGGTTTAAAATGCTTTGAAAAGGAAAAGGAAAGGTGAAAAAGGAAAAGAGGGAGGAAAGAAGGGGAAGAAGAAAGGGAGGGAAGGGGCGAGCCATGTTCCTCTTCCTCCTCTGTCAAATCCCTTTGTCTCTGGATACATTCATTGTCAGCCCTGCCAGATGTTGAAAGTATTTGAGAGTTGGCAGCAGGTTCCAGTGAGAAAATCAAATCTCTGCTCCTCCTGAGAACTCCATTAGCAAGATAGTTAAACTGTGGCTTCACCTGAAAGAGGATAGACAGCAACCCACATGGAAACTCCCGTCTCCTTAGAGAGCTTTGAGAAGCAGCTGGGTCCTGTTTCTCGGGCCTTGACAACACTTCCTACTCCTTCCGCCTACAGAAATATTCTGGAAAAAGACATCAGTACACTAGAGACACTACCTCTCCACTGCTGCACCTCATGCGGCAGAATCCAGCTAGATACATTTGTTCCTGTTCTCAGCAGGCTGAGAGTGTCCTGGGGACAGAAAGGGAACAGAAATCCTGCCCTCAGGCATACGCTGCCCTCAGTGTAGCTCTCCAAAGCCAAGAATACATTCATTACTCAGGAGAAGACTGATCCATCTAGTGTGTCTGTACTCAGAAGTATAAATTTATATTGTACAAATATAATACAGAATAGTCAATCTCAAATAGTTTTTTCTTTTTCTTTTTCTTTTTCTTTTTTCTTTTCTTTTTTTTTTTTTTTTTTTTTTGAGACAGTTTCACTCTTGTTGCCCAGGCTGGAGTTCAGTGGCACGATCTCAGCTCACTGCAACCTCTGTCTCCCAGGTTCAAACAATTCTCCTGCCTCAGCCTCCCAAATAGCTAGGATTACAGGCATGCACCACCATGCCTGGCTAATTTTGCATTTTTAGTAGAGACGGGGTTTCACCATGTTGGTTGGGCTGGTCTTGAGCTGCCTGATCCACCCACCTCTGCCTCCTAAAGTGCTGGGATTACAGACACGAGCCACCATGCCCAGCAATCTCAAATTTTAAAACCAGCAATGTGATACAATTTCATGTATATAGCCGTTTATTTGAAAAACTCAGAAATTTTCATTTGAAATACTTTTCCATGAAATGTTATGTATACATGTCAAAAACCATGGAAGTGTTTATAATCATTGACCCTGGAATGCCACTTCAAGGAATATGCCCTAAGACACAAATTCAACAGGAAAAAAGAGCAAAGATGTTCAATTGTTGTTAAACTTAAAAACTAGATACTAATTGTGCCACACACACACACACTCAAAAAAAGGTTTAAGAAATTAAGAAGGCTGAGCACACAGTAGCTCATCCCTATAATCCTAGCACTTTGGGAGGCTGAAGCAGGAGGATTGCTTGATCCCCAGTTTGAGACCAGCTGGGCAACCTTGTCTCTACAAAAAAAAAAAAAAAGAAAAAAATAATTAGCTTGTGTCAGGCCTCTGAGCCCAAGCCAAGCCATCACATCCCCTATGACTTGCATGTATACATCCAGATGTCCTGAAGTAACTGAAGATCTACAAAAGAAGTAAAAATAGCCTTAACTGATGACATTCCACCATTGTGATTTGTTTCTGCTCCACCCGAACTGATCAATGTACTTTGTAATCTCCCCCACCCTTAAGAAGGTTCTTTGTAATTCTCCCCACCCTTGAGAATGTACTTTGCGAGATCCACCCCTGCCCGCAAAACATTGCTCTTAACTTCACTGCCTATCCCAAAACCTATAAGAACTAATGATAATCCACCACCCTTTGCTGACTCTCTTTTCGGACTCAGCCCACCTGCACCCAGGTGAAATAAACAGTCATGTTGCTCACACAAAGCCTGTTTGGTGGTCTCTTCACACGGACGCGCATGAAATTTGGCGCCGTGACTCAGATCGGGGGACCTCCCTTGAGAGATCAATCCCCCGTCCTCCTGCTCTTTGCTCCATGAGAAAGATCCATCTACGACCTCAGGTCCTCAGACCGACCAGCCCAAGAAACATCTCACCAATTTCAAATCCGGTAAGCGGCCTCTTTTTACTCTCTTCTCCAACTTCCCTCACTATCCCTCAACCTCTTTCTCCTTTCAATCTTGGCACCACACTTCAATCTCCCTTCTCTTAATTTCAATTCCTTTCATTTTCTGGTAGAGACAAAGGAGACACGTTTTATCCGTGGACCCAAAACTCCGGCGCCGGTCACGGACTGGGAAGGCAGCCTTCCCTTGGTGTTTAATCATTGCAGGGACGCCTCTCTGATTATTCACCCACGTTTCAAAGGTGTCAGACCACGCAGGGATGCCTGCCTTGGTCCTTCACCCTTAGCAGCAAGTCCCGCTTTTCTGGAGGGGGGCAAGTACCCCAACCCCTTCTCTCCGTGTCTCTACCCCTTCTCTGCTTTTCTAGGGGAGAGGCAAGTACCCAAACCCCTTCTCTCCATGTCTCTACCCCTTCTCTGATTTTCTGGGGCAGGGGCAAGAACCCCTCAACCCCTTCTCCTTCACCCTTAGCGGCAAGTCCTGCTTTTCTAGGGGGCAAGAACCCCCGATCCCTTATTTCCATACCCCAACCCTTTCTCTGCTTTTCTGGAGGGCAAGAACCCCCCACCCCTTCTCCGTGTCTCTACTCTTTTCTCTGGGCTTGCCTCCTTCACTATGGGCAAGCTTCCACCTTCCATTCCTCTTTCTTCTCCCTTACTTTGTGTTCTTAAGAACTTAAAACCTCTTCAACTCTCACCTGACCTAAAATCGAAGCATCTTATTTTCTTCTGCAATGCCGCTTGACCCCAATACAAACTCAACAGTAGTTCCAAATAGCCGGAAAATGGCACTTTCAATTTTTCCATCCTATAAGATCTAAATAATTCTTGTTGTAAAATGGGCAAATGATCTGAGGTGCCTCCAGGTATTCTTTTACACATCAGTTCCTCCCTAGTCTCTGAGCCCAATGCAACTCGTCCCAAATCTTCCTTCTTTCCCTCCCGCCTGTCCCCTCAGTCCCAACCCCAAGCGTGGCTGAGTCTTTCTAATCTTCCTTTTCTACAGACCCATCTGACCTCTCCCCTCCTCACCAGGCTGAGCTAGGTCCCAATTCTTCCTCAGCCTCTGCTACTCCACCCAATAATCCTTTTATCACCTCCCCTCCTCACACCTGGTCCGGCTTACGGTTTCATTCTGTGACTAGCCCTCCCCCTCCTGCTCAGCAATTTACTCTTAAAAAGGTGGCTGGAGCTAAAGGCATAGTCAAGGTTAATGCTCCTTTTTCTTTATCCCAAATCAGATAGCGTTTAGGCTCTTTTTCATCAAATATAAAAACCCAGCCCAGTTCATGGCTCGTTTGGCAGCAACCCTGAGACACTTTACAGCCCTGGACCCTAAAAGGTCAAAAGGCCGTCTTATTCTCAATATACATTTTATTACCCAATCTGCTCCCAACATTAAATAAAACTCCAAAAATTAAATTCCGGCCCTCAAACCCCACAACAGGATTTAATTAACCTCGCCTTCAAGGAGTACAATAATAGAAAAAAGTTGCAATTCCTTGCCTCCACTGTGAGACAAACCCCAGCCACATCTCCAGCACACAAGAACTTCCAAACGCCTGAACCGCAGCGGCCAGGCCTTCCTCCAGAACCTCCTCCCCCAGGAGCTTGCTACAAGTGCCAGAAATCTGACCACCAGGCCAAGGAATGCCTGCAGCCCAGGATTCCTCCTAAGCCATGTCCCATCTGTGCGGGACCCCACTGGAAATCGGACTGTTCATCTCACCTGGCAGCCACTCCCAGAGCCCCTGGAACTCTGGCCCAAGGCTCTCTGACTGACTCCTTCTTGGCTTAGCGGCTGAAGACTGATGCTGCCCGATCGCCTTGGAAGCCCCGTAGACCACCATGGACGCCGAGCTTTAGGTAACTCTCACAGTGGAGCATAAGTCCTTTCCCTTCTTAATCAATACGGAGGCTAACCACTCCACATTACCTTCTTTTCAAGGGCCTGTTTCCCTTGCCTCCATAACTGTTGTGGGTATTGACAGCCAGGCTTCTAAACCTCTTAAAACTCCCCAACTCTGGTGCCAACTTAGACAATACTCTTTTAAGCCCTCCTTTTAGTTATCCCCACCTGCCCAGTTCCCTTATTAGGCTGAGACACTTTAAATTATCTGCTTCCCTGACTATTCCTGGATTACAGCTACATCTCATTACTGCCCTTCTTTCCAATCCAAAGCCTCCTTTGTGTCCTCCTCTTGTATCCCCCCACCTTAACCCACAAGTATAAGATACCTCTACTCCCTCCTTTGCAACTGATCATGCACCCCTTACCATCTCATTAAAACCTAATCATCACCCTTACCCTGCTCAAAGCCAATATCCCATCCCACAGCATGCTTTGGAAGGATTAAAGCCTGTTATCACTCGCCTGCTATAGCATGGCCTTTTAAAGCCTATAAACTCTCCTTACCATTCCCCCATTTTACCTGTCCTAAAACTAGACAAGCCTTACAAGTTAGTTCAGAATCTGCGCCTTATCAACCAAATTGTTTTGCCTATCCACCCTGTGGTGCCAAACCCATATACTCTCCTATCCTCAATACCTCCCTCTACTACCCATTATTCTGTTCTGGATCTCAAACATGCTTTCTTTACTATTCCTTTGCACCCTTCATCCCAGCCTCTCTTTGCTTTCACTTAGACTGACCCTGACACCCATCAGGCTCAGCAAATTACCTGGGCTGTACTGCCGCAAGGCTTCACAGACAGCCCCCATTACTTCAGTCAAGCCCAAGTTTTATCCTCATCTGTTACCTATCTTGGCATATTCTCATAAAAACACACATGCTCTCCCTGCTGATCATGTCTGATTAATCTCCCAAACCTCAATCCTTTACAAAACAACAACTCTTTTCCTTCCTAGGCATAGTTAGTGCAGTCAGAATTCTTACACAAGAGCCAGGACCGCACCCTGTAGCCTTTCTGTCCAAACAACTTGACCTTACTGTTTTAGCCTAGCCCTCATGTCTGCGTGCAGTGGCTGCCACTGCTTTAATACTTTTAGAGGCCCTAAAAATCACAAACTATGCTCAACTCACTCTCTACATTTCTCATAACTTCCAAAATCTATTTTCTTCGTCATACCTGACGCATATACTTTCTGCTCCCCGGCTCCTTCAGCTGTACTCACTCTTTGCTAAGTCCCACAATTACCATTGTTCCTGGCCCAGACTTCAATCCAGCCTCCCACATTATTCCAGATACCACACCTGACCCCCATGACTGCATCTCTCTGATCCACCTGACGTTCATCATATTTCCCCACATTTCCTTCTTCCCTGTTTCTCACCCTGATCACTCTTGATTTATTGATGGCAGTTCCACCAGGCCTAATCGCCACACACCAGCAAAGGCAGGCTATGCTATAGTACAAGCCACTAGCCCGCCTCTTAGAACCTTTCATTTCCTTTCCATCGTAGAAATCTATCCTCAAGGAAATAAATTCTCACTGTTCCATCTGCTATTCTACTACTCCTCAGGGATTATTCAGGCCCCCTCCCTTCCCTACACATCGAGCTCAAGGATTTACCCCCGCCCAGGACTGGCAAATTAGCTTTACTCAACATGCCCCGAGTCACAAAAACTAAAATACCTCTTAGTCTAAGTAGACACTTTCACTAGATAGGTAGAGGCCTTTCCTACAGGGTCTGAGAAGGTCACCGCAGTCATTTCTTCCCTTCTGTCAGACATAATTCCTCAGTTTAGCCTTCCCACCTCTATACAGTCTGATAACAGACCAGCCTTTATTAGTCAAATCAGCCAAGCATTTTTTCAGGCTCTTAGTATTCAGTGACAGACTAATGGTCTATTAAAAGCACACCTCACCAAGCTCAGCCACCAACTTAAAAAGGACTGGACAATACTTTTACCACTTTCCCTTCTCAGAAGTCAGACCTGTTCTCAGAATGCTACAGGGTACAGCCCATTTGAGCTCCTGTATAGACGTTCCTTTTTATTAGGCCCCAGTCTCATTCCAGACACCAGACCAACTTAGACTGTGCCCCAAAAAAACTTGTCATCCCTACTATCTTCTGCCTAGTCATACTTCTATTCACCATTCTCAACTACTCATACATGCCCTGCTCTTGTTTACACTGCCGGTTTACACTGTTTCTCCAAGCCATCACAGCTGGTATCTCCTGGTGCTATCCCCAAACTGCCACTCTAAACTCTTGAAGTGAATAATCTTTGCTGGCAGGACTATGCTGAATCTCCTTAGGCACTCTCTAATCAGATGTCCTAGGTCCTCCCAATTCTTAAATCTTTTATACCTGTTTTTCTCCTTCTCTTAT
The DNA here is from genome assembly GCF_000001405.40 of Homo sapiens. Classification (NCBI taxonomy): domain Eukaryota; kingdom Metazoa; phylum Chordata; class Mammalia; order Primates; family Hominidae; genus Homo; species Homo sapiens. Next base: position 236,933,032 of record NC_000001.11, on the reverse strand, counting down.
TCCATTTAGTTTCTCAATTCATCCAAAACCGTATCCAGGCCATCACCAATAATTCTATATGACAAATGTTTCTTCAAACATCCCCACAATATCACCCCTTACCACAAGATCTCCCTTCAGCTTAATCTCTCCCACTCTAGGTTCCCACGCCGCCCCTAATCCCGCTCGAAGCAGCCCTGAGAAACATCGCCCATTCTCTCTCCATACCACCCCCCAAAAATTTTCGCTGCCCCAACACTTCAACACTATTTTGTTTTATTTTTCTTATTAATATAAGAAGGCAGGAATGTCAGGCCTCTGAGCCCAAGCCAAGCCATCGCATCCCCTATGACTTGCACGTATACATCCAGATGGCCTGAAGTAACTGAAGATCTACAAAAGAAGTAAAAATAGCCTTAACTGATGACATTCCACCATTGTGATTTGTTTCTGCCCCACCCGAACTGATCAATGTACTTTGTAATCTCCCCCACCCTTAAGAAGGTTCTTTGTAATTCTCCCCACCCTTGAGAATGTACTTTGTGAGATCCACCCCTGCCCGCAAAACATTGCCCTTAACTTCACCGCCTATCCCAAAACCTATAAGAACTAATGATAATCCACCACCCTTTGCTGACTCTCTTTTCGGACTCAGCCCACCTGCACCCAGGTGAAATAAACAGCCATGTTGCTCACACAAAGCCTGTTTGGTGGTCTCTTCACACGGACGCGCATGAAAGCTTGGCATGGTGGTGAGTGCCTGTAGTCCCAGCTACTCAGAAGGCTGAGGTGGCTGTGATCACGCCACTGCACTCTAGCCTGGGTGACAGAGTGAGACCCTGTCTCAAAAAGTAAATAAATACATAAATACAAATTAAGAGAAACCAATGTATTGTGACATTATGCAAATATTAAAAATGATCGCATCAATAATGTTAGTTGCAGGGACAACAACTGTGATATATTGTTGGGTAAAGGAGTCAGAAGATATCATTGGTATGTGCACCATGCTTACAATTTCACAGAAACATTTATGTCTATGGGCCTGCCAAGAAGGCATTATAGAAAAATGAAATTACTTGTATTAGAATAGTAGATATATGAGTAACAGTTTTCTTTCAATGGTGCAATGTTGTTTTTAAAATAAAACCAGAAACATAAAACAATGGGAATGTTGTTAGATCTCTGCATCAATGCCTAAAAGTCCTTTCAACTCATGCGTAATTCATCTAAGTTTTGTGTTTTGCCTTTCTAATTGCATGACTTTTTCCTAGTTGGTTGTGAGCAACCATTTGCCTGGGGGCAGGCACAGGTTGAGGGAAGGGGGTGGTGACTGGGGGAAGATTAAGAATGTCACAGAAAAAAAACGCAAAGAGAAAGACTTAATTAATATTCAGGTTTTGACCTATATAGTAGGATTAAGTACAAAGGCAATGGTCTTGCAACTAGGCTACAGCTTTAATAAGGGATGTTCTAAACACCTCTCCTCTTCTGGGCACATTATCCATCAAGCCTGGATGATTCGGGTTACAGAGTTATCTCCATAATGAAGAGAAGGTAACCCATTTGCTCATGACAGCTACACGGTGGGGATAACTCTACAACCTGAATTGTATGAGAGCAGTGGAATTTAACTGTCATGAGTTGAATTCTGTCCACCCAAGATTCATAGATTGAAGTCCTAACCCCCCATACCTCAGAATGTGACCTTCTTTGGAGATAGGACCTTAAAGAGGTAATCAAGTTAAAATGAGGTCATTAGAGTGGTCCCTAATCCATATGACTTGTGTTGTTACAAAAAGGGGAGATTTGGACACAGCAGCCATCTAGGAGAACGCCACATGAACATAAAGATCTACAAGCCAAGGAAAGAGGCCTGGAACAGATCTTTCCTTAGAGCCCTTAGAAGGAACCAACCCTGCCAACACCTTCATCTTGGACTTCCAGCCTCCAGAACTGTGAGATAATAAATTTCTGATGTGCAGGATACCCAGTTAGTGGTACTTGTTCAGTCACAGGAAACTAACAAAATGACCAAAGGAAGATTAAAGAAAAGCCCTCCTTTCTACTCTGAGGGACTGTAGGAAGGGGTCGATGTTCCTCCCATCCTCATAGGCTTTCCTGTACCAACCTGGGATGCCACCATCTCAAAGTCACTGGGGCCACACAGGATGGTCAGGTGAGCTCAGCTGGGCCTTCTTCAGTTCCACTGGGGTCTTGCAAGACCCCAGTGACTGATGGAGTCTTCAGAGAAGTGGCTGCCCAGAGGTCACAGTAGGAGGGAAGAGGTGGATCTGTAGGGCTATAGTGGATGCTCATGTTCAGACCAGTGGGAGTCACAGCTAGACTTCAGAATGGATATAGTCCCAGCAGGCAGGGCTCTAGCCAGGTACAGAGGCCAATTCATAAATTACACAGCCGTAGGCTAACACTGCAAATGCTAGCAGGGTGAGAAGGTCCCAGGTAGACTGGCGATCTCCCCGCCAAAACCACAGCCCCTTTAAGCATCACAGCTCTTCCCTACCACACAAGACGTACATAAGCCTCACCCCTGCTCCACATACCATCTTAGGGAGGGAAAGGGGCTGAGGGGAGAACATGCATCTGGGAGACCAAGCACTTTTAGTCAAGAGGAACTGGGCACAACCAAATAATCGGATCAGACAAAACTTTAAACCAATTGAGACATCAAATTAATTGTTTCCAGGCCACGAAGTTGTATTATGTGTTGAAATCCTACAGTGTATATGCAAAGTGCTTCATGATCACAGGACTGTGGGTTGGTGGAGGAAGTAGAAGTGGGACCATTCACCACCAGGGTCACTATCTCAATCAACAACTTCAGAAAACCCTTAGGGATGGTCACAGTGGCTCCTCTGGTGTTTTCTAGACTAGACTGGATGTGTTCCAAAGATTCTTACAACTTTGTACTGTCACTAGCTTCAGGTAATGAAGTTTCACAGCCTGGAGGATTGCTAATTAAAGTCAACAGCAGCTTGATGACCCTGACACCACACCCTCAATAAACAAAACCATTGCTTAGTCTGTCAGTTGCCTTAGATGCACAGGCAAAGTGAAGAGCTGTCAGAGACAAACTGGGAAGTGGGGCAGAGCTGTGCAGGGCTAGCAGAGGGGGAGCCGAGGGTGAGCTGAAAGCCAGCTGAGGGTGCGCTGGTGGGGAGAAGGTGGCCCTTTTCATCTCGGCTCTGTTCCATAGGGCTGGCACATCTTCCATTTGGGATGATGAAATCTCTACCACAGCAGGGGGAAAGGCCATTAGCCTGGCCAGCCGCGGTGGCTCACACCTGTAATCCCAGCACTTTGGGAGGCAGAGATGCGTGGATCACTTGAGGCCAGGAGTTCAAGACCAGCGTGGCCAACATGGCGAAACCCCATCACTACTAAAAAGACAAAAAATTAGCTGGGCATGGTGGCGCACACCTGTAATCCCAGCTACTCGAGAGGCTAAGGCAAGAGAATCGCTTGAGCCCAGGAGGCGGAGGTTGCAGTGAGCCAAGATTGCACCGCTGCACTCCATCCTGGGAGACAGAGCACAACTCTGTCTCAAAAAAAGAAAAAAAAAAGGCCATTAGCCTTAAGCCTTTTCAGGTTGAGGAGGTGAGTTTTTTATTGTAAATAAACAAACATAACAGTTCTTTGGACATGAAACAAAAGTAAACAGTAGGACTTACAGATGGCTTCCCATCTTAAGCAGCCTAGGAATCACAACTATTAATAATGATGTTTTCCTGGAAGGAGCTCCAAGAACTTGTAAATCAAAAAGTATCTGAGACATCTCAATTGATTTAGGTGTTTATTTTGCCAAGGTTAAAGACATGCCCATGATATAGGCTCTCGAGGTGCTGACAACATGTGCCCAAGATGGTCAGCCTATGACTTGGCTTTATATAGTTTAGAGAGACATAAGACATCAACCAATACATGTAAGGTATATATTGGTTCGCTCTAGAAAGGCAGGACAACTGGAAGCAGAGACTTCCAGGTCATAGGCAGATTCAAAGACTTTCTGATTGACAGTTGGTTATTATCTAAAGACTGGAATCAATATAAAGGAATGTCTGGGTTATGATAAGGGCTTGTGGAGACCAAGGTTTAATCATGCAGATGAAGCCTCCAGGTAGCCGGCTTCAGAGAGAACAGATTGTAGATGTTTCTTGTCAGACTTAAAGAGTTTATTCTACCAGTCTTAAGGTCTGCGTTGGTGTTAATGGTTATGAGGCATGTCCGATCTCCCCTTCCCATTATGACCCGAACTAGTTTTTCAGGTTCACTTTGGAATGTCCTTGGCCAAGAGGAGGGGTCTATTCTGATGGTTGAGGGGTTTCAAATTTTATTTTTTGTTTACAAACGGTATACCCATCATTCATACCCATTTCATAAGAATAAAGGCAGCCAACTTCGGTCATGACACAATCATTACTTAAGTAGTCCTGGAGTAACTACTAGAGAGTTAAAAGTTAATCTCTCAGTGGCTGGAAGATAAAAGGAGCAAGGAAGAGGACAGCTGCTTTTCTTTCTAGGCACTTTGTCACTTCCCAAATGCTAGGCACCGTGTGAGGCAGGGAAGGAGGTTCAGACACAAAAACTGAGAGGAAGGGGAGCAAATATGTACACATGACAACCATTCAATTATATATTCATTCAACAAATATTTATTGAACTCTGATTATGCACTGGACATTAGGTGTTGGAGACAGCTATTAACAAAACAGTCTTTGCCTCATGGACCTGCCTCTGTAGTAAAGGAGGCAGACAATCATTCAACACATAACATAGTATCGGGTAGTGACGTGTTATGAAGAAGGCATATTAGGGAGCTAGACTGTGACTGAGCAGGCAGAGAGAGGAGTTGCCCTTTTAGGGGTTGGTAGGTAATGTCTGAGATGACATTTGAGTAGAGACCTGAATCAAGTTGGAGGGTGTGATGGTTAAATTTACATATCAACTTGACTGCACTACAGGGTGCCCAGATTAAACATTGTTTCTGGATGTCTGTGAGGGTGTTTCTAGATGAGATTAGCATTTGATTTAGTGGGCTCAGTAAAGGAGATGGCCCTCCCCCATATGAGTGGACACCATCCAATCCCTTGAGAGCCTGGATAGAACAAAAAGATGGAGGAAAGAGGAATTCACCCCTTTTCCTTCCAGCCTGAGTACCAGGGCATAGATCTTCTCCTGCCCTCAGTGCCCCTGCCCTGGTCTCTGGACTTGGGCTGAATTATCCACCCACTCCCCTGCTTCTCCAGCTTGCAGGTGGCAGATCATGGGACTTCTCAATCTCCGTAATCAAGTGAGACAATTCCAAATATGAAAGTTCTTCCTATGGACAGTTGAGTCTTAAACAACACACGTTACTTATATGCAGATTTTCTTCTGCCTCTGGCACCCCTGAGACAGCAAGACCAACCCCTCCTCTTCCTCTTCCTCCTCCTCCTCCTCAGCATACTCAACATGAAGATGATGAGAATGAAGACCTTTATGGTAATCCACTTCCACTTAATAGGAAATATATTTTCTCTTCCTGATGATTTTTAAATAAAATTTTCTTTTCTCTAGCTTACTTTATTATAAGGATACAGTATATAATACATATACCAAATATGGTTTTTGTTTTGTTTTGTTTTGTTTTCTCACTCTTGTTGCCCAGGCTGGAGTGCAATGGTGCAATCTCGGCTCACTGCAACCTCCATCTCCCAGGTTCAAGTGATTGTCCTGCCTCGGCCTCCCAAGTAGCTGGGATTACAGGCGCATGCCACCACGCCTGGCTAATTTTTGTAGTTTTAGTAGAGATGGGGGTATCGTCATATTGGTCAGGCTGGTCTCAAATTCCTGACCTCAGGTGATCGGCCCGCCTTGGCCTCCCAAAGTGCTGGGATTACAGGCGTGAGCCACTATGCTCAGCCCCAGATATGTTTTTAATCAACTGCTTATGTTTTCAGTAAGGTTTTGGTCGACAGTAGGCTATTAATAGTTAAGTTTGGGAGAGTCAAAGGTTATACATGGACTTTCCACTGCAAGGAGATCAGTGCCCCTAACCCCAGAGATGTCCAATGGTTAACTGTACATCCAGTCCTCTCCTTTATCTTCTCAGTCTCCACAAGTTCCCCAACCATCATCACGCATTTCTCTTTGTTATTTTGTTTTCCTTCATGCTTACTCACTCTCATCCACATGCACATATTTCTCCCCCTGTCCAGCACAGGAGTGCACACCTGTCACCTCCTCCCGCCTTCTGTATTAGTCCGTTTTCATACTGCTGATAAAGACATTTTCAAGACTGGGTAATTTATAAAGAAAAAAGAAGTTTAATGGACTCGCAGTTTCACGTGGCTGGGAAGGTCTCACAATCATGGCAGAAGGTGAAAGGCATGTCTTACGTGGTAATGGACGAGAAAGAATGAGAGCCAAGCCAAAGCAGAAACCACTTATAAAACCATCAGATCCTGTGAGACTTATTCACTACCACAAGAACAGTATACGGGAAGCAGCCCTCATGATTCAATTATCTCCCACTGGGTCCCTCCCACAACATGTGGGAATTAAATCAAGATGAGATTTGGGTGGGGACACAGCCAAACCATATCTCATACCTCTATGGTGTCCTCACAGTCGTTTAAGAAAATCTTCTCTCTCTGATGAAATAAAAATGTTAGAACTTGGAAAATCCTTAGAGTTTACGTGGTTATTCTCAGTGCACACACACACCACTCCCCACAGTCCTCCAGATGTGTGCCTAAGTTATCCTTTGCTCAAACCTCCTACTTAAAAAGGTTTTGGGGAAGATGTTGTCCCTACTGGCAGAGGATGAAGTGGTAAGAAGCTGAGAGAGGGTTGAGACAGAGGGAAGCAGACTCTCTTCCCCGCGGCGCCCTCATGATCAGCATCACATCTTTAAAGGTACCTTCATCACCTCTTCCTTTCTTTCTTTTTTCCACTGCCTCCATGTCAATGCTGGACAGGAGCATGAGTGAAGCATGAGTTTCCTTCCATTTTCAAAACAAACCTTTAACTTAGAATGAAGGTGAAAGAATGTATTTTTTCCTAAATCAACAGTGTAAACTGGCTGGACTGTTTTGTAAAAATATCACACCCTCTGGATGTTTCATGAGCTGATTTGCATGGTACCAGATGAGTTTCTTTTTTCCTCTTTCAATCAGCTCAAGTAAATATACAACATGCAGCCAAATTACATCCTCTTACAGGAAGAGAGATTTCAAAATCTTTTCTTATTGTTTACCTGAATCTGTTTGTTCACAGTTTCTCAGACAGGCAAGATATCCTCAGAACAAAGTTACTAAAAGGATTTTCAGGTGACACAGGCTGCAGCTGGAAGTTAGTTATGTAACTTTGGTTTTGTGGCTCTTTCCATTTTCACGGTGTACAGCAGATACTAATTAACATGGAAATTGATTTGTGTGCTTGAGCATTCCAGCTAGCTGCAACAAGCATTTCACGCTCTGCGTTGGAAAATGTTCTCATTGCTTCTTTGGTAATGCTGAGCCATGGACAGATGACAATGACAGTTCACTTTTGTCACTCTGTGAATGAAGGAGTAAATAAGTGCCCCATCCACAGAACCACGGAGCTCATGTAATCCACTCAAAAAGGGACCCTGGTCCAGCAACTTTGATGCAACCTGACTTTCCTTGGACACTTCCAGTGACAGGAGACTCACTACTGTCGTCCAGCTGTTTGCCATGGCTCTGCTAGGTCTGAGTTAAAGGGGGTCACTCACACGACTGTTTCCCCTTTTGGAGCTCCCAGTGAGAGGCCACAACCCCACGGCAACTGGAAAGATGCCCATCTAATAGTCTACCCCCTCTAAGGTCAGAATTCTCTCATAAAGGTGCAGTGGCATGCACCTGGAGTCCCAGCTACTCAGGAGGCTGAGGTGGGAAGATTGCTTGAGCCCAGGAGTTCAAGTCCAGTCTAAGCAGCACGGCAAGACTCCATCTCTTAAAAAAAAAAAAAAAAAAAAAATCTCCCATAAAGCTTGCTCCTTTGCAGGTAAGAGACCATCACCATTGTTTCTTTACTATTTGTTAAGTGACCATTTTGTGTCAGATATTGTCTTATATCCCAGGGCTGCAACTTAAATAATACTTACTCTGTCTACCAGGAACTTCCAATCTAGTTTATTAAATTTTAATGACTTTGAATTAGATAAACTAGTATAAGTTATTTATAGCATTCTTTATACATTAATTCAATAAAAATTATTGACTAGAATTTACAGTCTAGTAGGGATAGAAATCTAAATAAATTATTATAACAGGATGGTGCAAGTGCCGTCATAAAGCACAGCTCATTAACTTGATCCTTCTTAAGGCAACTGGCCAGGGAAACCTCTCAGAGGTGTTAAGAGGCAGAAAACCTAAGGGCATTGAACACTTATGGGGCTGGGGGCGGGATTTAGGGAGAAGGACGCTGCCAGAAGGATCTATTGCTTTGTGATGTTATTCAAGGTTAGCCCAGCCGTGCACCAGCTGATTGACTATTGGAGTCCTTGGACACCACCCATAATCATTCTTAACCACTCATGTCGCATGGCTAATGAGAGGTCTTGCGGTACTGGCTTAATGAGTTGAAACGATTCAACTATAATTAGCACATTTATTATTTTAATATGAATCAATGCTTCTAAAGACCTCAAAAAGAACTTAATCTCTACAATAAATTAAACCCTTCCTACAAGTTCCTTCATACTACTATCACACCTAGTGTTTTCTTCTTAGCATAAATTGCACACGTCATCCCCAAAATAGTTCCAATCATAGTGGATCGCAAACAGCCAGGCTAAAAGTAATTAAGTTTTATTGTAAATTGTTTTCTGAGCTTTTCTGAAAATCCCAAGGAAAGGCCAGGAGGAGCAGATCTCCAGCTAGGGTGACATTCTGATTGGTCGTGATGACAGCAGTGCATTTTTGGTAAAACTAACAATGGTGCTTTTCAGACACAAGTCCTGCCTAACCTAACGTGGTATGAAGGAGGCCGGCAGCCAGGTTTGCACTTTCACTTGTTGCCTTTGCATCTTCATCCATCAGGCTGAACAGAGAATCAATAACCAGCAGCCTAGCAGGATTTTTTAAGGTTATCACTCCCAATCCTTCATTTGATGGATGCTGAATGTTGATCAAATTGACTGAGAGTTGAAAAGTTGCCTTCTGCTGCAGGTTTGATGAGTTACCATTTTCTGCCAGATAAAGAAGTTTCAACAAAGGAAGAAAAATTACTTTTCTGGGATCTGCTCTTGCTCTATAGAAACAGAAACGCAGCTAAGAGGCTTAAAGTAGAAACAGCAGAATATTTAGGTCTCACCGAGGACCCTGCCTATTTTGACAGGGAAGTCCTTTTGTTCTATGTACATATTTTGAAAAACCACTGTTTCTTTTTATAGGAAAGGATTTCTAAAAGGCATTCTTTGGAAACTCCAACGTAAAGCAAAATCTATTAGACATCTAGGATATGGTCTTGAAATTAATGTTAAGTGAGAACTGACATATCAAAGATGTAAGTATTAAGATTCTAATCTATTTTTACAATGAATTCCCATTTGTCCAAAATGTTTCCAAATTCTAGAATTTTTTAAGAAATTCGGATTAAAGAAATACCAGAGAATGCTGGCTTTGGCAATGGTCTTTTCTCCTTTCCATGTTTGTAACTACTTCCTCCAACAGAGAGAAATATCTACAATAGTTTTAGAATTGCTAAGCCAAGCCACTGAGAAAAGCAAGCCTATTAACTAGAGTTCGATATTGTTGAAATTATTTTTCTTCTTGAGGTTAAATTTGCATAAAGTGCAATGCAGATATCTTAGGTGTACAATTCATTGAGGTTTGATAAATATATACCTCATAGAATTATTACTGCAACCAAGATACATGGAACATTTCTATTATCCCCAAAATTGCTCTTATGTCCTCTTCCAGTCAGTCCCCAACTCCCACAGATAACCGTTCTGAAGTCTATCACTGTAGAACACTTCAGCCTATTCTTCTTTTTTTTTTTCTTAGAGACAGGGTCTAGCTCTGTCACCCAGGTTGGAGTACAGTGGCACAATCATGGCTCACTGCAGCCTTGAACTCCTGGCCTCAAGTAATCCTCCTGCCTCAGCCTTCAGAGTAGCTAGAATTATAGGCACACACCACCATGCCTGGTTATTTTTTCAACTTTTGTAGAGGCAGGGTCTCACTATGTTGCTCTGGCTGGTCTTGAACTTCTGGCCTCAAGCAATTCCCCTACCTTGGCCTCCCAAAGTGCTGAGATTACAGGCGTAAGTCACTGCATCTGACTTTATTTCAGCCTATTCTTGTACTTCATATGAATGAAATCATGAAATTATGTGTTCTTCTACATTTGGGCTCTTTTGCCCAACAGAGTGAGTTTGACATTTGTTCATACTGTTGGGTCTAGATCAGTTGTTTCATTCCTTTTACTGCTGAATAGTATTCCAGGGTATGAATATTCCATGAATTGTTTACCCATTTTCCTGTCAATGGACATTGGTTTTGTTTTTGTTTTTGTGGTAAGAAGACTTATCATGAGATCTACCCTCTTAACAAATTTTTTATCTACCCTCTTAACAAACTGTTGAGTGTACAATGTAGTATGGCTAAATATAGTCATTACATTATACAGCAGATCTCTAGAGCACAGTCATCCTGCTTAACTGGAGCTCCACCTGTCAAATGCTCCCCATTTCCTCCTCCCTGCAGCCTCTGGCAACCACCATGCTACTCTCTGCTTCTGTGTACTTGACTCTTTTAGATTCCACATTGTATTAGTCTGTTCTCACGCAGCTATGAAGAAATACCCGAGACTGGGTAATTTATATAGGAAAGAGGTTTAATTGACTCACAGTTCCCCAGGGCTTGGCCTCAGAAAACTTACAATCATGGCAGAAGGGGAAGCAAACATGTCTTTCTTCACATGGCAGCAAGAAGGAGAAGACCAAGAGAAGTGCAGATCGAAGGGGGGAAAAGCCCCTCACAAAATCATCAGATTTCATGAGAACTCACTCACTATCATGAGAACAGCACAGGGGAACCGCCCCATGGTTCAATCACCTCCCATGAGGTCCCTCCCCCAGCACATGGGAATTACAACTCAAGGTGAGATTTGGGTGGGAACACAGAGCCAGACCATATCACACATCTAAGTGAGATCATGCAGTATTTGTCTTTCTATGACTGGCTTATTTCACTTAGAATAATGCCCTGAAGTTTCATCCATGATGTCATGAATGACAGGATTTCCTTCTTTTTTCTTTTGAGACTGGGTCTTGCTCTGTCACCCAGGCTGGAGTGGACTGGTGTGGTCATAAACCACTGCAGCCTTGACCTCCTGCGCTCAAGCAATCCTCCACCTCAGCCTTCCATGTAGCTGGGACCACAGGTGTGTGTCAACACACCCCGCTAATTAAAAAAAAAATTGTAGAGACGATATCTCACTATGTTGCACAGGCTGGTCTTGAACTCCCGGGCTCAAGTGATCCTCCTGCCTTGGCCTCCCAGAATGCTGTGATTATAGGCACAGCCAGGATTTCCTTCTTTTGACGAACATTATAGATTTTCCCTCAGGATTGGTTATTATGAATAAAGTCTGTGGGAATATAAATGGGTGAAACCATTTTGGAAACCATTTGACAGTTTCTTATAAGGTTATAATACTCCTACCCTATGTATGACCCAGCAATTCCTCCGCTAGGCGTTTACCTAAAGGAATAAAAATGTATTCACAAAGAGACTTGTGCAAGAATATTTATAGTGGCTTTATTCATGCTTGACAAAGTCTTTCAATGAAGCCATCTAGCCTTGGTTAACTAGTTCTCCAGTGGAATTCTACTCTTTGTCATTCATTCTCTTGAATATAAGAATAATACAGATTTGAACATCCATCTGTTAACTCCAATAAGTAGGTGACCTGTATGTCTGTTTATGTTGTCTTTTCTTCCTCCTCTTCATGAGTGTCCTGGGTAAATTTTGTGTATGAGGTTCTGGATAATGCTATCATCTTCCAGAGAGGGCTAGTCCTATTTTCTGGTAGGCAGATAAAGTCACAACTAATCAGGGACTGGTTTGTTTGTTTGTTTTTTAGTTTCCATCTACCTCTCATTTTCCCCATACATAGGGTATAGCCTCCAGGATTCCCAGCTGAGGTACTGGAGTGCTGACTGAAGCCCTTCTCCCTGGGTCTTGAATTCCAACTCTGGCATCCCCAGCACTGTGAGAAGGAAGAAAACTCTGCTTTACCCATTGGGAGTTTTCTGCTTTGCTTCAAAAGCAGTTTAAGAATTCAAAAAGTCAACAAATCCCTAGAAAGACAAAGAGCGGTTTGTTGGGCAAAAATGTGCTGTGCCTCCCTTGTGACCAGGATTTCTGCTCCCTTCCACTCCAAATTCCAAAGACTTATTAGCCCTAAACTCCAATTTCTGTCTTTCTAGTCCTTTAAGATTGCCAACATTTCAGCAGGCATCTCTCTTCTTAGCAGCAGCTTTCTGCCTAGGCCTTCTGCCCAGAATCTCATCTTCCCGCCTCCCATGACCAACAACTGGCAAATACTTGGAGGGAAAAAAGACAGCATGAGGTTGGCTTTCCTCACTGTGGTGTTCTTCTCTAGGGATCGTGGCTGATAGGGTCTGTTTGCCTCAGATAGTTTGTGATGCTTTCAGTTTTTTCAAAAAACAATCTTTCTAGTTGTTTTGTAGGAAAGCTTCAGTTCACTGTAACCTAATTTGTCCTAGTTAGAAGCATAGGTTATGACTTAAATATTTTTCTTGTCTAACTGCACTGGATAGGACCAATTCAATGTTTAAGTAACTTGACTTTTCTTTTAATGAGAATGTTTATTAGGTTGTTCATTAAGATGGATGTTTTGGGCAAGATTGGAACAACAGACACTAGGGACTCCAAAAGAGGGGAGGGAGGGAACGAGCAAGGGTTGAAAAACTACCTATCGGGTACTATATTCACAATGTGGGTGGTAGGATCAATAGAAGCCCAACTTCAGCATCACACAATATACTCATGTAACAAACTTGCATATGTACCTCCTGAATCGAAAAAAAAAAAGATTGGTGTTTTATGTGGCTTTTTAATAGATAGCTTTTATCAGATCAAGGATATTCTTTAATATTCTTAGTTTTCTATATTTTTATCATTAAAAAGCATTATTTAATTTTTCTGTATCTATTAATATGATCATATCATTTTTCCCCTTTCATCTCTTAATTTTATAAAGTCGTGTGTGTGTGTGTGTGTGTGTGTGTGTGTGTGTGAGATGTGCTTTCCTAATTGTATTAGGGTTTTCTAGAGGGACAGAACTAATGGAATAGGTATATATAAAAGGGGAGTTTATCAAGGATTGTTAACTCACACAATCACAAGGTCCCACAGTAGGCCACCGCAGGCTAAGGAGCAAGGAGAGCCAGTCTGAGTTCCAAAACTGAAGAATTTGGAGTCCAGTGTTCGAGGGCAGGAAGCATCCAGCACGGGAGAAAGATGTAGGCTGGGAGGCTACGCCAGTCTCTCTCTTTTCACATTTTTCTGCCTGCTTATATTCTAGCCATGCCGGCAGCTGATTGGACTGTGCCCACCCAAGGGTGGGTCTGCCTTTCCCACTCCACTGACTCAAATGTCAATCTCCTTTGGCAACACCCTCACAGACACATCCAGGATCAATACTTTGTATCCTTCAATCCAATCAAGTTGACACTCAGTATTAGCCATCACACTAATATTAAACTATTCTTTCATTACTGGAATAAATCTAGATTGATTATGATACAGTACCTTTTATTACATTTATGACTGGATTCTATTTTCTATCACTGGTTTAGAATTTCATCTTTGCTAAAGTTGCAATTAGATTTTTTCTTTTCTTCTGCTGGGCTTGCCTGATTTTGCCATCAAGACTAAATTAAGCTAATAGAATGAGTTGGAGAATATTTGATCTTTTATTATGCTCTAGAAAACTAAGTCTAAGATTAGAACAATGTGTTCCTTGAAAGCTTTTTAGAACTTACCTGTAAAAATCATCTGGGCACGGTGTTTTATTTGGGTAAAAAATTTTAACTACTACTTTCATTTATTTTCCTTATATATATATTGAGCTAGTCAGTCTTACTATTTCTGTTTTTGAGACAGTTTCCCTATAGGTCATATTTTTCTAAGAATTTATCCATTTTGTCTAAGTTTCCAAATTTATCACCATAAAGCTGTTCACAGTATTTTCTTATCTTCTTTTAATTTTGGTTGTATCTATAGTTATATCCCTTTTTCTCACCTCAATATTACCATTTTTTTCTTTACCAATCTCACCAGATAGCTGACTATTTTATCAGTCTCTTTTAAAGACCAAATTTGGGCTTTGTTCTAGGATGTGTTGTTTTTTAAAAAATCAGTGTTTGCTCTTATTTTTATGTTTTCTCTCCTACATTCTTTTGATTTAATCTATTGCTTTATCTTCCTTCATTTTTTCATATTGACACGTAAGTCTTTATTCCTTTCTGAAATAAGTGTTTAAATCTATTATGTTTCATCTGAAGTATCACTCATAAATCTTGCCTCATTCCAGAAAGGACTTGATGAAGCTCAGAAAGATGTACATAGTACAAGATTTAAAAGTAAGAACAGGCCAGGCGCTGTGGCTCATGCCTGTAATCCCAGCACTTGGGAGGCCAAGGCAGATGGATCACCTGAGGTCAGGAGTTTGAAACCGACCTGGCCAACATGGCAAGGCCTCATCTCCACTAAAAATACAAAAAATTAGCCGGGCGTGGTGGCGCGCTCCTGTAATCCCAGCTACTCGGGAGGCTGAGGTAGGAGAATTGCTTGAACCCAGGAGGCAAAGGTTGCAGTGAGCCGAGATTGCACCACTGCACTCCAGCCTGGGCAACAGAGCAGGACCCTATCTTAAAATGAATAAATAAATAGGCTGGGCATGGTGGCTCACACCTGTAATCCCAGCACTTTGGGAGGCCGAAGCGGGCGGATCTCAAGGTCAGGAGTTTGAGTCCAGCCTGACCAACATGTTGAAACCCCGTCTGTACTAAAAGTACAAAAATTAGCCAGGTGCAGTGGTGCACGCCTGTAATCCCAGTTACTCAGGAGGCTGAGGCAGAAGAATCACTTGAACCCAGGAGGTGAAGGTTGCAGTGAGCAGAGATCATGCCACTGCACTCCAGCCTGGGTGACAGAGCAAGACTCCGTCTCAAAAAAAAAATTAAAAATTAAAAAAAATTAATAAATAAAATAATATGAAGGGATTCTTGATAGATGGCAATAGTGGTTTGTTTGTTTTAACTAAGCTGTTTCTTATACTTAAAGTGGGTTCCTTGTTGGCAGCATATGGCAAAGTATTGTTCTTTAGTCCAATCTGACAATCTCTGCATTTGAATTGGGGTATTTATACCATTTATATTTAATATAATTATTGATATGGTTAGATTTAAATCTGCCATATAGCTACTCATTTTCTCTATGTCCCATCTGTTCTTTGCTCCCTTTACTCTTTTTATTCCTTCTTTTGGATTCAGGTTTTTTATTATTTAATTTTACCCCCTTTGTTGTTGTATTAGCAATACCTCCTCTTGTGTTATTTTAGTGTTTGTTTTAGGGTTTATACTATACATCTTATGTTATCACAGTCTACCTTCAAGTGATATTACATCACTTCACAAATAGTATAAGAACATACTTCAATTCTTCTTCTCTCAGCTTTGTGCTATTGTTGCCATATACTTTACTTCCACATATGTCATAAAACACACAATAATTTGTCATTTTCTCTTTAAACAACCAATTCTGCTTTAAAGCCTGCATTCTCAATGGGGTTATATTGCCCACTCCTACCCACCAAGGGGCAAAAAAATAAAAATAAAGTTCTTGGAGACTGAAAAAAATGTTCAATATTACAATGGCTTGTATTTCCCCAAAAGGCCACAGAACATAAACAAATACATGGTATATCTGTGGTATTAAAATTTTATGCAGAAGGTGGGGAGAATTTGGTTGGGGAAAAAGGTCTAAAAATGCTTCGTCAGAGAATAAAATTAAAAAGACTGAGAAACACTTTAAAGAGATTTAAATAATTTTAAAAACCCTCATATTTACCCACATAGGATAGTTCCCATTCTCAATACTTTTTGTTCCTTTGTGGAGATCCAGATTTCCATCTGGTATCATTTTCTTCTACTTGAAGAGCTTTCTTAGCATTTCTTCTCACTCAAGTCTTCTTATGATGAATTCTTTCCACTTTTGTTGGTATGAAAAGCCTTTATCTCATCTTCATTTCTGAAAGATATTTTCACTAGGCAAAGATATCTAGGTTAACAGTGTTTTTCTTGCAGTACAGATTTTCCCTGACTTACGACTTTTTAATTTTATGATGGTGTAAAAGTGAAACACATTCAGTACATTCCTTGACTAATGATGGAATTATGTCTAGATAAACACATCATAAATCAAAAATGTAAGTTGAAAGTGTATTTTAGACATGATATTTTCAATTTATGATGAGTTTTTTGGAACATAACCCCATCATAAGTCAAGCAGCACTTAAACTTCAAAAATGTAGTACCACTGTCTTCTGGTTTACATTTTTTCTGAGAAGAAATCTGTTGTCATCCTTCCGTAAACAACGTCATTCCCCAACTCCCTCTGACTGCTTTCTTCTTATCACTAGTTTCTCTCTCTCTTTTCTTTTAATTCCAGAGGACCCAAATCACTAATTTTAAGCAATTTGATGATGTTGCGCTTTGGGGTCATGTGTTTTTGTTTTTGTTTCTTTTTTTGTTTTTGTTTTTGTTTTTGTTTTGTTGGAGTCTTGCTCTGTCACCCAGGCTGGAGTGCAATAGCACAGTCTTGGCTCACCACAACCTCTGCCTCCCGGTTCAAGCAATTCTCCTGCGGCAGCCTCCCAAGTAGCTGGGATTACAGGCATGTGCCACCACACCTGGCTAATTTTGTATTTTTAGTAGAGACAGGGTTTCTCCATGTTGGTCAGGCTGGTCTCGAACTTCTGACCTCAAGTGGCTCACCCGCCTCAGCCTCCCAAAGTGCTGGGATTACAGGCATGAGCCACCGCACCCGGCGTGGGGTCATGTTCTTAACCTTTCTTGTGCTTAAGGTTTTTTGAGATTCTTGGATTTGTAGCATTATAATTTTCATCAAACTTGGAAAGTTTTCAGTCATTCTTTAATTTTCTTTGAGTCTTTAAAAACAGGCTTACTGGAATTTAATTCACATCATACAATGCACACATTTAATTTGTATAGTGCAATGTTTTGTAGTATATTTATAGAGTTGGGCAACCATCACAACAGTCAATTTTCAAACATTTTCATTACCCCAAAATGAAACCTGATACCCACTGGCAGTCACTTTCCAATTACCTCCAACTTATAAGCCCTATGCAATCACTTATCTATGTTCTATCTCTACAGATTTGCCTATTCTGGACTTAAAAAAAATAGTCATGCAATACGTGTCTTCTGTGGTTTAAAAAACAGAATGTACTGTCTCACAGTTCTGGGGGCTAGGTAACTGATAGCAAGATGTTAGCAGCATTGGTTTCTTCTGAGGCCCCTCTCCTCGGCTTGTAGATGGCCATCTTCTTATGTCCCCACATGATCTTCTCTCTGTGTGTGTCTGTGTCCTAATCTCCTCTTCTTGTAAGAATACCAGTCAGGTTGGATTAGGTCCACTCATGGACCTCATTTTACCTTAATTATCTGAAGACCCTATCTCCAAATACAGTCACATTCTGAGGTGCTGGGGGTTAGGACTTCATCATATGAATTTTTGGGAAACACAATTCAACCCATAATACTAGGCAGTGAGGACACTGAATTCATTATACTATTTACTCTATTTTTGTGAGAGTTTGAAATTTTTCATAATAGAAGGTTTTAACTTTTATTAAATTAGAAAATTGATGGAAGAGAATAATAAAGTTAAGCCAGTATGAACCACTGTAATAGCTCTAGAAAGAAATACAATCACTTATCTTTAAAAAAAAAATGACTTGATAATCCATAGGCCTATTAGCAGACCACCTTTTACATTCCTGAAGGGTGAATTTTGTCCCCTCAAATTCAAATATTGAAGTCCTACCACCCAGTACCTCAAAACATGACTGTATTTGGAAATAGGGTCTTTAGATAACTAAGGTAAAATGAGGTTATACGAGTGGATCCTAATCCAATCTGAATGGTATCCTTATAAGAAAAAAAGATTAGGGCACAGACACACAAAGAGGGAAGACCACGTTGGGACACAGGGAGAAGATGGCCACCTGCAAGCCCAGGAGAGAGGTCTCAGAAGAAACCAACCCTACTGACATGTTAATAGCAGCTGTAGAGCCTCCAGAACTGTGAGGCAGTAGATAAGGTACCTCAGCCTCCAATGTCTAAGAAACCCAAGATCATATCCAGTCCAAAGGGCAGTCAGACCTTCCCTATGTTAGGCATTAGATAGAACTGGAGTCTCTTTAGTACACCACTGATTTAACTTTTGCTGACATTTAATATTGCCATTTAAGTTTAATCTTTCACAATATTACAAGTATATCACAAGTTATACTTGCCGAGTAAAGCAACACAAGTGACCTTAATGGTCTGTATCATGGCATAGGCTGAAATATTAGAGGGAGGACAATTGAATATCTCCATGCTAGGGTCAGCCCCAACATGTAAATATCAAAGTTACAGCCATTAGCTTTTAGGTTTTTTTGGTTCACTTATGCAATTTCTTATTAATATTCCTCCAAGAGAACTGAGGATATTTCCAACACACCATGGAGTCAGAACACCCAATGAATCAAGATGAAATAAGATAAATATCCAAATTAGCTCAATGGGAGAAAAGAGGTTAATAGTCACAGAATCATAGAATTTAGAGGGCTGACTTCCATTTATGGCAATATAGTAAATTAACTGAGAACCCTCCTATCAAAAAACACCTGGAAATGATGGACAAAATATAATAAACATGCTTTTAAATATATAACTGAACATGCAAGAAAGTAAGAGAAATCCCTCGGGGCAAAGCCAGAAATGAAACAGAAATGCAGCTCAGACTGCCCTGATAAATGTTGCTGGACTTGATAACTGAGGGGCTACTATTTTAACAGCCATGTGAGGACAGGAGATAAAGCCTTGAATCTATAGTAGGAAGCTAGAGTGTAAGTTATCTAGTATCAGCACCCTCAAAGGCTTATACTTCAGTAAAAGGGTAGATTAGGAATAACATCCACCCACTGGCAAAGAGGTGTGACAAGAGAGCTTTCTGGTCTCATCTTGTCCTCTAGGTTACATTGTCTTTAAAACCAATATTACTCTGAGAATTCTAACTATGAATCATTTTCTCCTGCATTTGCAGTTTAAATTCATACTATCTTTGTGGTCTGTGAATCTCACCTCTGGTATGCCTGAGAGGAAGAAATGCTTTGAGGGACACAACTTTAACCCACACCTCCAAAATCTCAACAGATGAGGCTCCACCAGACATCATTAGCTCATCATCACTAAGACAAGTGAGAAGATTCGAGGGTTGGACCCACTCATATGTAACTGAATCATCTGAAACCCAGATATTTTAAATGACTTACCCAAAAGTTCCACAGCATTTAATTGGCAGAGACAGACCAGAGCTCAGGGCTTATGAGTTGTCTGTGAATTATTTACTCCTTCCAGCAATCTGCCTCTTTCCATATAGAAGTTCTTTCTCTGGAGAATCTAAGGGAAAAATCAGGTTCAATTGTCTTTATTTATTTATTTATTTGTTTGTTTGCCTTGAGACGGGGTCTCACCTTGTTGTCCAGGCTGGAGTGCAGTGGCCCAGTCTCAGCTCATGGCAACCTCCTACTCCTGGATTCAGGTGATTCTCCTGCCTCGGCCTCCAGAGTAACAGGGATTACAGGTGCATACCACCACATCCAGCTAATTTTGTATTTTTAGTAGAAATGGGGTTTCACCATGTTGGCCAGGTTGGTCTTGAACTCCTGACCTCAAGCGATCTACCCACCTTGGCCTCCCAAAGTTCTGGGTTTACAGGCATGAGCCACTGTGCCTGGCCTCACTTTTCAATATAGGATTGTTGATTTTGAAGACAATTGAGGCCAAGCATCGTGGGTCATGCCTGTAATGCCAGCATTTTGGGAGGCAGAGGCAGGCAGATCACCTGAGGTCAGGAGTGCAAGACCAGCCTGACCAACATGGTGAAACCTCATCTCCATTAAAAATACAAAAACTCACTTTGGGAGGCCAAGGCGGGCGGATCAAGAGGTCAGGAGATCGAGACCACCCTGGCTAACACGGTGAAACCCCGTCTCTACTAAAAATACAAAAAATTAGCTGGGTGTGGTGGTGCACGCCTGTAGTCCCAGCTACTCAGAGGGTTAAGGGGGGAGAATGGTGTGAACTCGGGAGGCAGAGCTTTCAGTGAGCCAAGATCGCGCCACTGCACTCCAGCCTGGGCGACAGAGTGAGACTCAGTCTCAAAAAAAAAAAAAAAAAATTAGCCAGGCATGGGCATGCACACCTGTAGTCCTAGCTACTCAGGAGGCTGAGGTGGAAGAATGACTTGAACCCTGGAGGTGAAGGTTGCAGTAAGCCAAGATCATTCCACTGCACTCCAGCCTGGGCGACACAGTGAGACTCTGTCTCAAAAAAAAAAAAAAAAAAAAAAAAAACACCAAAAAATGAGACTATTTGCCCCCAAATACTCAAATAAGCAAGTGGATTCTGCTACTGTGGTGCTTCAAGTTCACAGGTGTCCTCATCTGTATTCTGGAGATACTCTGCACCTGAGCAAGTGTGTTGAAAAGATGTGCTACCCAGCATGCTCACTGTCTGCTAACTGAAACACCCTTTGGGAAAGCAATCTGCTTAAGCATACCAACGGTTTTAAATGTAATGCTGCTTTGAGTAATTCATTCTTAGGAAATTCTCAGACATATGAATAAAGGGTTAGTGTTCAATTATACTCACACTATTGTAACCTACAATGCTAAAAAGTTGAAAATGCCCTAATGTTCTACAAAAAAAATGGTTACATAAATTACAGTACGTGTTTAAAATAGATTGTTCTATAGGCATTTTAAAAAATTTGAAGACTGATATAAAACTGAATGGAAAAAAATGAATTAAAAATATACATATCTATTGTTCTCACTCATGGGGAGCTGAAACAACTGATGTCATGGAGATCGGGAACAGAATGATAGACACTAGAGGCTGGGAAGGGGGTGTGGGTTGGAGGGGTTTGAATAAAGAGAGGTTGGTTAGTGGGTACAAATATACAGTGAGACAGAACAAATAAGCCACAGTGTTCAGCTGCAGGGTAGGGTGGCTATAGTTAGCAACAAGGGATTGTATATTTCAAAGTATCTATTAAGAGAGGACTTGAAATGTTACCAACACATAGACGTAATAAATACTCAAGGTGGGCCAGGCGTAGTGGCTCACGCCTGTAATCCCAGCATTTTGGGAGGCTGAGATAGGCGGATCACGTGAGGTCAGGAGTTTGAGATCAGCCTGGCCAACATGGTGAAACCCCATCTCTACCAAAAATACAAAAATTGGCCAGGCATGGTGGCGCATGCCTATAATCTTAGCTACTCGGGGGGTGCTGAAGCAGAAGAATCGCTTGAACCCGGGAGGTGGAGGTTGCAGTGAGCCAAGACCACGCCACTGCACTCCAGCCTGGGCGACAAAGCAAGACTCCATCTCAAATAAATAAATAAATAAATAACTCAAGGCGATGGATACTCCAAATATCCTGACTTGACACATTCTATGCATTGAACAAATACATGTACCCCATAAATACATAAAATACTTTGTATGAATAAAAAAGTAACTTACAAAATTTGAAGAACATAGCCTTCCCTTTTTATAAATTAAAATTCTCTAAATTTTGTATTCCTATGGTCTTCTCTGATTCAAATTTGTAATTGGCTTATTAAAACATATATTCACAAAATACGTACATGCAGAAACCACAATGGTATAGCACTTCGCACCTGTTAGGATGGCTAATATAATAATAATAATAATAATAATAATAGGCCAGGTCCGGTGGCTCATGCCTGTAATCCCAGCACTTAGGGAGGCCGAGGTGAGAAGATCACCTGAGGTCAGGAGTTCAAGACCAGCCTGACCAACATGGTGAAACCCTGTCTCTATTAAAAATACAAAAATGAGCCAGCCGTGGTGGTTGGGTGCCTGTAATCCCAGCTACTTGGGAGGCTGAGGCAGGAGAATCACTTGAACCTGGGAGGCGGAGGTTGCAGTGAGCAGAGATCATGCCACTGGACTCCAGCCTGGGCTACAGAGTGAGGCTCTGTCTCACAACAAACAAATAAATAATAAACACTGGCAAAATTGGAAGGAATACTTGACACTGCTGGAAGGAATGTAAAATGATGCAGCTGTGGAAAACAGTATGATGATTTCTCAAAAACCCAACCCACAAGAAATGAAAGCAGAGACTCAAGCTGACATTTGTACACCCATGTTCATAGCAGCATTGTTCAAAATAGCCAGAAGGTGGAAGCTACCCAAGGGTCCATCAATGGATGAATGGATAAGAAAATGTGGTAATCGTCTACCTGTCTTTAAAATCAATACTACTCTGAGAATTCTAACCATGGGCCTTTTCTCCTGTATGTGCTGTTCAAATTGGTACCAACTTTGTGGTCTGGAAATCCCTACACTGAAAGATTCACATAAAAAAACCATCTAAGGCTGATAACCCCTGTGGTATGACTGGCAGAAAAAAAATGTCTAGAGGGACAAGCCAATCCATATTATTCAGCCTTAAAAAGGAAGGGAATTCTGACACATGCTACAATACGGATGGACCTTGAGAACACTACACTAAGTGAAACAAGCCAGTCACAAAAGGACAAATACCATATGATTCCACTTATATGAGGTACGTAGTCAAATTCACAGAGATTCACAGAGAGGGAAGGTAGAATGGTGGTTGCCCCAGGCCAGGCATGAGGGAGGATTGGAGGGTTATTGTTTAGTTGGTACAGAATTTAGTTTTGTGAGATGAAGAGTTCTAGAGATGGATGGTGGTGATGGTTGCATAACAAGATGTGTGTGTATTTTACCACAATAAAATATATACATGAAAATACATGGATATATACATATATACTATAACATATCAGTCATATAAAAAAGATGATACATGGGTAGGTAGGTTGATAGATATAAAAATTGATAGCTTTATGGTGTATTCATTTTCTATTACTGCTGTGTAACAAATTTCCACAAACTTGGTGGCTTATTAACAACACATATTTATTCTCTTACAGTTCTGGAGAAACAAGTCAGAAATTAAGGTGTCAGCAGGGCCACACTCTCTCTCTGGAGGATCTAGGGGAAAATTTTGTTTCCTGGCTTTCTGCCTTTAGAAGCTGCCTGCATTCCTTGGCTCATGGCCCTTTCCTCCATCTTCAAAGCCATCTTCCTCCTACCTGAAATTTTTTATCCTTTACCAACATCTCCCTAACTGTTCCATTCTCTTGTAACTTCTATTCTACTCTCTACTTCTACGAGATCAACTTTTTTCAATTCCACATCTGAGCAAGATCATTGGTATTTGTCTTTTCATTCCTGGCTTATTTCACTTAACATGATGTCCTCCAGGACATCGATATCTTTGGAAGCCATTATTCAGCCTACTCACTCATGAATGGACGGGAGAAAAGAGAGAAGGAAAATGAAAAACAATGGAAGAAAATATTCTCTGTATACTTGTATATAGTTTACAAGCTTTTTGTGATAAAAAAGTTTTATAATAAAAAATGCAACGTTTTAAAATTGGCTTTCTTAATTGATATAATTTGGATATTTGTCTCTTCCAAATCTCATGTTGAAATGTGACTCCCAATGTTGGAGGTGGGGCCTGGTGGGAGGTGTTTGGGTCATGGGGGTGGATCTCTCATGAATGGCTTGGTATCTCCCTGCTGTAATGAGTGACTTCATGGAAATCTGGTTATTAAAGAGCCTGGTGCCTCCCTCCCCCTCTATCTTGCTCCCTCTCTTAATATGTGACAAGCCAGCTCCCCTTGCCTTCCTCCATGACTGGAAGCTTCCTGAGGCCTCACCAGAAGCAGATGCCGGCACCATGCTTCTTGTACAGCCTGCAGAACCATGAGCCAAATAAACCTCTTTTCTCTATAAACGACCCCACCTCAGGTATTCCTTTATAGCAACACAAATGGACTAAGACATTAATGCAAGTATAATTTAGTGTATTTGGGGTGCTTTTCCAGGTGTGAGATGGGTTCCACTAAACCATCCAGCATGTCTGGTATAATTATCCTAATGAGCAGAGTAATCCATTTGTAAGGTGTCAAATCTGTAACAGGAAGGCTGTCTATAGCTGCAATGTTTACAGCTCCCTCTGGAAAATATCCAGTCTCACCACAGTCAAGTTTCCCTCCCTACACTTCTCTTGTGCTACTGGCATTCACAGGGAGATTTATACACATTGTCTATCAAATGAGGTATTTTGATGAGGTGTTGCATTCACTTTTTCTGTAAAGCATGGCTTTGAAGAATTGAAAAAATTAAACCTCTCCCAAGGGTCTTCATTATTGTTCTTCAGTTAATGAAGATTTCTTTTAAAAGCCAAGCCCTGTGCTGAGAGCTTTCTGTGGATTAAGGCATTGATTTCTTGCACTGTCCTGTGAGGTGAGTGGTAGCACTATGGTCATTTACAGATGAGGAAGCTGCCTCGTAGAGAGGGCATACAACCTGCCCAAGGTCCCCCAGCGACTGATTTTTGAAGGCATGAGAGGGGAGGCATTTATGACACAACATGGAACCCTATTTATGCACTACAGCTAATCACATACATGTCTTCTGAAAAGATCAAAGACAGGTCTGACCTCAGAGTCCCCTCACACAACTGTGCACTTCACATCAGACTATTAGTTAACACACATCACATCTGCTCTCTTCAAACTCTTTAGATCTTCTAAAACATACAACGAAAGCGGAAGAGAGAGTTCTTGCCCTTTTAAATATCCTACAGTTTAATCTGGGAGATAATACATATACCCTATAATGTAAGTAAAGTTACAAAATGATCTATACCCTCAAACACACAACACAAGAGTGACCAAGAGCAGGTCAACATACACAAAACCAAAGAGTGATAAGGATGAAGTCTGTTGGAGATTTGGTGGTTAAATGCATTTCTCTTTTCTGGGCATTTGAGGGCACAGCCTGGCAGTTTAATACGACAAACTGGGTTCTATAGATTTTACTCATAAATATCCTTTATGAGTGAACAAAAAAGTAATTTTAAACCGAGTTGGGGCTTTTAAAAAAATTTATGTTAGCATGAACACTGACTCCTTGGAAATTATACCAATGCTCAACAAGCAAATTTTTAGTAAAGAAAAATAGAGGAGGACAAAGAAGGGAATCTTGATTTAGAGCAATGGCAAGAAGGCAAGCTGCAACTATAAATTTCTAAAGAGCAGCTTGTTAAATAAATGGTTTCTCTTTGGAAGGCAGATGTTTATCAGTAAATGCTCCTCTGAAGTGCAGCTTGTTAATCTGCAGGGGGAGATGTCTGGGCACTTTTGTTCCCAAAAGGTCGGGATGAGATAAGGAGGGGGAAAGCTTGACAGCTGCTCTGGGATCTGTATTCATGAAGCAACCCGGAATCAGGTTAGCTGTGTTTATGCTCACAGCTAATCACAGACTTTCCTTCTAACATACAGAATGGTGTGCCCACATTTGTGAGTACACAAACGTGCGTGCACGCACGCGCACACACACACACACCCCTTCTTACCTGATTCTGGCATAGCAATACAGGAGATTAATATTCAGAAAGAGTTCTGTACCAGAACTTTGTACCAGTGTTTCCAACAGTGGTGTACAGCACACTGGTTCATCAGGCTAAGCAAGAAGAAATGAAACCAGGCTTGCTTGATGAAGTCTAAAACTGGAGGTCCTAAAGGGGCAAAGTGAAAGAGAGGTCAAAGTTTCCTACCTACTGTTAGCTGCCTTAGAAGCAGCAGTAAAATCTTGGGAAAGAGGCATGAAATATACATGGGAAGTGTAATGTTCCTCCAAATATTACATGAGAGACCCGGAGATGCCACTTTTGCTTTTAAATCCAGAGCAGAGGATGAGTTTAAGACTTGAGAAACACAAGGTACTGGAGGGAGTCTGTTCCCCACAAACTCTGTGAAGAATGTTATTCTCCATGAGGGCGGGGAATTTTACTTTCTTAGCATTGTATGTCCAGCCCTGGCACAGGATCTAGCCCAATACATATTTGATGAATGAACAGATAATATGAATGAATGCACAAATGCCATATTACAGCAAATATTTCACCTCTTGGGGATCTTAGCTAAAGCAAAAGTAGAGGAAATTTGTCCAGCCAGCATTTCCTCTCTCTAATATCATAACCACTATTTGAGCTCATTGGAAGAGAAGCTTAAAAGGCAGACATAAATGTTTATTCCTCTATCGCTGCAAATCTTAGCACAGCCTTGATAACCAAATACCAATCAACTCTACAAAATAACAGACTTTGGCCGGGCACAGTGGCTCACACCTGTAATCCCACAATTTTGGAGGCCGAGGTGGATGGATCACTTGAGGTCAGGAGTTTGAGACCAGCCTGATCAACATGGTGAAACCCTGTCTCTACTAAAAACACAAAAATTAGCCAGCGTGGTGGTGGGTGCCTGTAACCTCAGCTACTCAGGAGGCTGAGGCAGGAGAATTGCTTGAACCCAGGAGGCCAAGGTTGCAGTGAGCCAAGATTGCACCACTGCACCCTAGCCTGGGCGACAGAGCAAGACTCCATCTCAAAAAAAAAAAAAAAAAAAGAAAAAAAGAAAGAAAAAAAAGCACACCCATCCCTCTGGATGGAATGGGACATCCATTTCCCTACAGAAGGCATGTTTTATCCCTTTAATGTTGGTAGGAAAATGGTTGGGTAAAGTCCTTTCCATCTCTCCCCATTTTGGGGGCAGTCATGTCCTCATTACTGTTTCCTCTCTCTCATCTCCAAATATATATCCACAAATGTTTGCTACTTATATTACAAAACCTTTAGAAAATTCTCTCTTCCCACCTTCCAGAGTTCTCAACTTTCCCGTTCTCTTCAACCCTCCTCACTTTTCAAGTAAAATTTCAAAGGTGGCATCCAAAGCCAAACCGCACTTTTCACTTGACAAAACCCAATAATTACTCTGTTTTCTTAAGTCAGATGCTCCTGCTAATCTGATACAAACCATCCAAAATTAGCGCCTTCCTTCCCCTTCAATGCCAATGGTATTAAATGACTCAACTCTGCCTCACACCAGCCCCTTCAGCTTCCAGGGTTTGAGCTGACCTCCTTGTCAGGACACACTCTCTTGTTCTGTAGCATCTTTTCCATTCACCATGATAAACCATCTTCTTCACTTCAGCACCCCTCTCTATAGCTTAAATAAAGTCAGGCTTGGCTCTTTCGACACAGGGTTATAGCAGCAGCAGATGCTCTGCTATCTGGCATAGTTGGGAGAAGGAAAAATGTTGCTTAATCTATATTCCAGTTAAAGGACAGGGGTCACATTTATCAAACTTGGGTGGTCAACCTTCAAATACAGTGATTCACATGGTAAAGTGTACTTAGTACTGAAGTGACACTGAATTTTGATGAGTCTTTGATGATTCAGAAGGTACTGCAGGAATATTGCAACACTTATGAGTCATCATTATGAGTATCAGCGATCACTGGATTGTAGGTTTTGAAAGGCCGCTGATGGATGGACCAGATTTGCTTCTGTGCAGTTGTCTGTTCCCTTGCATTGGACAGTGGCAGCACATCTCTGAACTTGCCTGGAAAATCTCTGGAGGGCACTAGCTGGCATCTTGGCGTCTGTTCAACAAATATTTAAGTTCCTACTATGTGCCTGGCAGAATTGCTAGATTTTTGGTTCTGACATTATCTACTGCATATGATGATCTTTCCTCCTTGAGTGCCTTAGCAAATAGAATGGGTACCATGCCTCCCTGTCTCTTTTAGGAAAAGGTTTGTTTTTTTCTATTTTTCCCAGTTGATGGTTAATTTTAACAAATGGAGAAATTTCACAGGGTCTTTCTCTTGATTTTTATCTGATCTGTTGGGTAATAATGCACAATTGGAGTGTAAAGCATAACTAGGTTTCTGAATTATTTTCAGCTGATTGACAATGTTTCTAACTGCAAAAGAGAACAAACTCATTTCTATGCCAAACAGGACTAAAAAACATTCATGGATGTGTCCACTTCCTTGTAACTCACCAATTTATTTTGGTTGGGGGGGGGGCGGTAATACGTCCACTGATTGATATTTGATCCCTAACTTTATTCAAGACTTATTTATTTATTTATTTGAGACAGAGTTTCGCTCATTGCCCAGGTTCGAGTGCAATGGCACGATTTCGGCTCACCACAACCTCCACCTCCCGGGTTCAAGCGATTCTCCTGCCTCAGCCTGAGTAGCTGGGATTACAGGCATGCACTGCCACGCCCTGCTAATTTTGTATTTTTAGTAGAGACGGGGTTTCTCCATGTTGGTCAGGCTGGTCTCAAACTCCCGACCTCAGGTGATCCGCCCACCTTGGCCTCCCAAAGTGCTGGGATTACAGGCATGAGCCACGGCACCCAGCCTCAAGATTTAATTTGAAGGCCCAGTGGAGAGAAATGGGCTCCTGCAGACCAGGAAGCAGTCCTGGCTCTGCTGGGGACCAAGCTGTCACCTCAATTTGCTGTACTTCAGCATTCCCAATGGTTTTAAACTGGATGTTAGTACTTGCCCATAGCAATGTAAGGAAATATCTGATGGTGACTGGAAGGCTTTATATGAGCCATTGAAATATCTCTTGGAGCTAACTGCTACCTTTTCTGAAAAGAGCTGCATTATCTTAAAAATAATCAAGTACTTTAACACTAAAATGTTTTCCCCTGGAATCCTTCAAATTTTCTTGATAAGCTCATCTCAATACAATTTTTAAAAATTCAACAATCTATCATATCAGGTTAAAATATTTTTAATTAATGGTATTTGGCACTATATACCAACTCGATTTTATATATTTTATTGAAAATATGCACAAAATAAATACATTTTCTTTTCTTTTAATCCAAGATAAACAATGTCACATGATTAAAGGTAAGCATTGAAATTCTTTCAGATAACCTGGAGGGAAATGTCCTTTTTCTCTTTGCCGAGTTTCTCTCTGGGAAATGAAGAAACAAGATTGTGAGAGTTCAGAGTTCCTTCCTCACCTGCTGCAAGTTCACACTCAGCAGGTCGCCAGATGTATTACATTTACCTTATGGATGGCAGAGATTGTCTGTGATCAACAGCATTTGTGACTCTGTCTAGTTCTTGTTTCTTCCATTTCATAGAATATACACTCTCAAGGTTCTCAAAAACCATTTAATCCAAGATACTTTCCTGGGCGAGAATTTAGGGATTGCTTGTTTCGTGAGTCTCCAAAAGTCTATAATAATACTTAAAAGCAAGGGATGAGGCAAAAGGCATCTTTGAAAATTACATTTGAAGAATGCAGTGTAAATGGAATTAGATATTCCAAGTGTTAAAAAAACATGGGACTGGCTGAGTTTAGGGGTTACTTCATTTAAATCCTCACTTTTCACTCAGACTAGTCAAAATAGCACCCATTTCAGGCTAGACTTGTTGCCAAGCTAATCTTTTTAAAAGTACAATAACATACACTTGTAAAAATTTGAAACAGTGCAGAAAGAACGAGAAATAGCCAAACCATGAGTTCCCTCACCTCTGATCCCCTAATCCCATTCCGTGGAGGTAACCACTTAAAAATTTCTGTGTATCCTCTTAGACTTTTTATTTTTTATTTTTTAAGAGATGAGGTCTCAGCACAGGCTGGAGTGCAGCTGTGCAATCATAGCTCACTGCAGCCTCAAACTCCTGGCCTCAACCGATCCTCCCACCTCAGCCTCCTGAATAGCTGGGTTTACAGGCATGTGACACTGTGCCCAGCTCTTCTTGACGTTTTAATGCATATACTGGTGTATATTTCCTTATACACACACCGAATCAGAATATACTTTCAGTTCTACAATTTGACAATACACATAGCTGATTTATAGCAAGTATGCCATGAACTGAGGGTTTTGTTTTGTTTTGTTTTTGCAGGGCTGCCAATATGCTGTCTTCACGGGACGGTAAAGAAAGTATCACTTGGGCCGCATCTAATATGAAATACTGAAGGTGGGTGTAGAGAGGGTGCTAGGGCTTTGATACAGCGCTTTCTTTCTGAGAGAGAGAAAACCATCATGCTCCCCCCGCCCCGAACTCATTTAACAAGGCTTGATGGAGTGAACAATTTCATGGCAGGCACTGAGCTAGGCTCTGGGTATCCTGAGCTCAGGAAGAGGCAGGGCCCCTGCCCTCATGAGGCTTTACAGTCTGCTCTCCATCCAACTCCTGTCCCTAGAGGATCTGCTCAATTCAAGACAACCTTTACTGAGCACCTATCATAAAGCAAGCACTATTTTAGACGCCATATAAAGATGAGTAAGGTTCCAAACCTGCCCTTAGGGAATGTTAAGTCTAACAGAGAACTAGATGAAGTTTCAGCAAGGGCTGTATGAAATGTGCATGGCGGTGTTACAGAGGCAAGAAGAGGGGTCACTTCACTTAGCTTTGGGGTGGTGGGAGGGAGGGGTTGGGAAGCTTTCCTGACTTGGGTGGAACCGGGGTGGGGTTATTCCAGACAGAGGGGCCAATGTGAGCAGGTACCTCCTTCAGGGTACAGCAGCAGTCTAGGGCTTCCAAGACATGAGGCAGGGTCAGACATGGAAGGCTTTGCATGCCTCTAAGGGGCTGGGATATATCCTAGGTCACGGGGAGATGGTTATTCAGGCAGCAGGAGGATTGAGGCGGGGGTGTAAAGAATCAGAGAGCCCACTCTTCCAGCTCTAGGAGGTGGGAACCAACCCGGCAGCCTGTGTTGCAGATGAATCCAGAGGAGAAATGATGAGAACCTTAACCAGGGCAGGCGTAGAGATGAACTTAAGACCTATCTAGCGCGTAAAATCGCCAGGGCTTGAGAACCAACTGGATGTGAAGGTTGAGAAAAAGAAAAGTGTTATGGTCTGATGTATCCCCCAAATCATGTTGAAATGGAATCCCCAGAATGATGGTGTTTGGAGATGGCATCTTTGGGAGGTAATTAGGTCATGAAGGTGGAGCCCTCATGAATGGGATTAGTGCCTTTTTAAGAGGAGGCCAGAGAGCAAGCTTACCCTCCACCCACTGTGAGAACATGAGAAGCTGGCCGCTGCATCCCAGAAGAGGGCCCTCACCAGAACTCGGCCATGATGGCACCATGATCTTGGACTTCCAGACTCCTGAACTGTAAGAAATAAACATCTGTTCTCTATAAGCTAACCAGTTTGTGGTATTTTGTTACAGGAGCAGGAGCTAAGACTGGAGGGGTCAGGGGCAACTCCCAGGTTGATGGTGTTACTGACTGGCAGAAGAAATTCAGTCTCCCTGGAAGTTGGGTTAAAATAATTGTTTTTAAAGACTTCTGCACTATCTGCAACCCTCTGTACTTGTGCTTTACCCTCAGCATATAATCCTTTTTCTGTCTGAAACACTCTCAATCCTACCTTTCCCTCCAATCTTCTTTAAATGAGTCAACAAGTCTTCCACACCTCCCATTGTCTTCAACCTAGCAAAGCCAGCTGTGTGCCAACAGTCCCCACAATCCCCTGACGCTGCTCTTGAGGGGCTCACTGTGAGAAGGGCCCTCAGCAATCCCATTCCCAGGCCTCTTTGCAGCATTGGGTTCTGCTGGCATGCTTCGAAACGCTCTTCATTGCTTTCTCGGCATTGCACTCTCCCTCCTGGCTTCCTCCAACCCACAGCTGCTCCCCTGCTGGCTCCCCCTCCTCCTCCTCCAGATTCTCTTCTCCTCATATGCTCCATAGATGATCCCATCGCACTGCAGCCTGACCTCCATCTCCACGTTCAAGTCTCTCAATTCTAACTCCAGACATTCTTTTTAAATTCCAAAGTCTAGTATCCAACTGCCTATATTCAGTCTAGTCACATCGAATCTTTCCAAAACTCATCATTTCTCCCATCCCCTGGCCTCTGTCTTAGCAAATGGTCCAGCCATCCACTCATTCCCCAAAGCCTGGTATCTGGGCACTGCTGGCAGCAGCAAGGATGCACCACTCTCCTGCCCCTCACCTTTCTAGCTGCTGTTTACCCTAAGATGTTCTTCCTTTCCTTAAAAACTGTATTTGACATATACAAACATTACCTACAAAATCACCATACCAGATTTTAGGTTATCATTCCACTTTGCCTTTATTTTTTATAATATATTTAAGTAGAACATATTTAATATGTAAAAAACTGTTATCTATTAGTTATAAAGTATAATGTATTAATAGCATATAGTAAACACTTGTAAGCCTACCAGGAGGAACCAGAACAGCTGCATAACTTGGCATCTACCTATGTGCTCCTGTCCCTTCCACTTCCTCCTTCTGTGGGTAATTACTATGCTCAATTTTGGTTTATCAGTTACCTTCTTTTTTTTTAATAGCATAGTTTTATTGTATACGTATGCTTAGACTACATATTCTTTGGTTTTGCTTGTTTTTGGGCTCAATAAAAATAGTACGCCCCATGTGGTCTCTTCAAACTTGCTTTTTTCCTTAATATTTTCTGAGATTCATTCTTATTGTGAGGTATAGCTGTAGTTCACTCATTTCCACTACTGAATAATATCCCGTAGAATGAATATATATATCTAATTATTCACCTATTTTCCTGTAGACAGACATACATTTCACTTTTTCCAGTTATTAACTATTATAAATATGTAACTATGAACATTCTTACACATTCCTCCTAGTGGCCACATGCAAGAGTTTGCTGGACATACAGGTGGGAGTTGGAAGCAAGATCATAACGTCTGCAAATGTTCAAGTCTGTAAGGGATAATTGTTTTTTAAAGCAGTGGTGCCTGTTTACACATCCACAATGTTGTACAAGTCCCTACAGATCTAACAACTGGTACTGTCAGACCCAACCTTTGCAAATCTTATGGATATAAAATGGAATCTCATTGTGGTCCTAATTCATATTTCCCTGACCAATGCTACAGAACATCTATTTATTTAAAAGCCCTATTTCCTCTTGTGTAGTCTTCACTATTTTTCTATTTTTTTAAATAGGAATTCTCTATATTTGTGATTATGAATCCTTCATCAGTTATTTGTATTATAAATGTCTTCTCAAGTTGTGGATCATCTTCTCACTTCAAGTGTTTGCTTAATATAAGCCTTGAGTTTTAACAGAATTGACTTAACCATCTTGTCCTTTATGATTACTACTTTATGTCTCAAGAGATTCTTTCCTGCCCTAAGGCTTTTTTCATCCAAACACTGACAATTTTTGCTTTTTGTATTAAAGCCCTTAACATATTTGGAACTTATCACCAGGTAAGGTGAGAGAAAGTAAAATTTCTTTTTTTCCCACATGAATAGCCATTGTTCTGGGATTACTTAGGGAGTGGTCCTTCCTGTCCCCACTGACTTGCCATGTCACCAGGTCATTTTGCAAAGGTCAACATATGCACGGGTGAGTTTCTAGGCCCTTATTTTGTTCCCCTGCTCAGAATGCCTACCTCTGCACCATGACACTGTCTTGACAATAAAACTTGGTATCACATAGGGTGCGTGTCCCCAACCTCTCCTTCATATTTAGAAGCATTTGGTAATTTTAAGTCCTTTGCTACTCCATATAAACACCTGCTTGTTTCATTCAATAAAATCTGTTGGAATTTCCATTGAAAATGGTATTAAATCCATAGATCAATTTTAGGAGACCTGATACCTTTATAATCTTGAATATTCCTATTCATGAACAAAGATGGTTCTTCATTTGTTCCTCCCTTGCTTCTTCGTCTTCATCCTTCGAATCAAACCAGGACTCCAATGTTACCTTCTCCTGACTATTGCCACCACCATCTTGAAGTAGGATGAGTGTATATTTTGCATGCAAATTTTTGAAATAACTGCAATCATCCAAGAAAAAGATGACATGGTTGAGTTTGAGGCTTGTTGCTTGAGTGGTGGCACCATTCTTCATTACTGAATATATTGAGAATTGAGGGGAATAAAATGGTAAGAAATGAGTGACTTTATGCTGCCCACTTGTCCAACTCCGCACGGGATATCAGAGCCCAGCTGAGAACCTGCTCAATCCTGGAAACAATTAAAAGATGTTAACCGGCCAGGCTCGGTGGCTCACGCCTGTAATCCCAGCATTTTGGGAGGCTGAGGTGGGCAGATCACGAGGTCGGGAGATCAAGACCATCCTGGCTAACACAGTGAAATCCTGTCTCTACTTTTTTGTATTTTGTAAAAACACAAAAAATTAGCCGGGTGTGGTGGCGGGCACCTGTAGTCCCAGCTACTCTGGAGGCTGAGGCAGGAGAATGGCATGAACCCAGGAGGCGGAGCTTGCTATGAGCCGAGATTGCGCCCCTGCACTCCAGCCTGGGCGACAGAGCCAGACTCTGTCTCAAAAAAAAAAAAACCAAAACAAAACAAAACAAAAAAAATGTTAACCACCCTTAACAGTAACTTTCTCTCCTCATTTCCTTTTTGTTTCCTCAGGGGTACGGAAATATGAAATTATGGGAGGACGAAAATGCCCAGAAAGCATGGCTGCTTGACCACACTGGGGCAAATGGCTTCAGTGTTTCTGACAAGCAAGCAGTGAGCGCATGCCTTTTGCCAAAGGGAGTTCTGCAGCCATTTAGTCCAGCCTTTAGAAAACGAGGTCTTCCGAAGAGAACAGAGCTACACCTTCCCCGTCAGAATCCACTGTTATAACCACTTAGATTAAAATGCCCCATTTCTCACAGTATCATTTTGTCACAGGGTCACACTTCTCTATTCAACTCAGTTTCAGGCTTTTCTTCTAAGAGGAAAAAAAGACGACTAAGTGGCCTCCTAGATTCCACTGTAAAAACAGAAAAAAGCAGGTTGACTTGCTTTGAAATCAAACGACCTCTGTCTTCAGTCTGTCCCCATCTCAGAGGGACCAGGGAAACCACAGGAACCCTGCTCACTGCTCTTCACGCAAGGTCCCAAAAAAACAGCGCCTGTTTTCCAGGCACTGCAGGAAGACCCTGCTCCTCTACAAGGTTCCACTAAATAGTCTTCGAAAACCAGAAGCAGGTAAGTGTCAGCCAGATGCACACAGGTTTTTTGTTGTTGTTATTTTTAAGGCACCCTAGGTTGTATTTCCTTGAGGATCATCAAGAATAAAAAAGGCAAAAAAAAAAAAAAAGTTAGTCTGTATCATATCCCAAAATGGGTCCAAGCCATTTCTCAACCTCAGCCACAGATATGTTCTTCCTCAATGCATAATCCTCAACCTGCAAAAGATGAGAAGCATTTTATTAAACCAACATGATAAGACTTTTGGAATAGAAGTTTCCACAAGATTTGCCAAGAAACATTAAGTACCTTGCATTTCTTGTCTTAATAGCAATCTACAGAGTTAAATGGAGATAGATATTTATCTACCAAGTTGCCTTTTTCTCTGGGCAGAAAAACATGTAGTAAACATCTGATGCTTAGAAGCTGTATGTGTGTGTGTGTGTGTGTGTGTGTGTGTGTGTGCGTGTGTGTGGCTTGCATGTAGAAGTGAGGGCTAGAATAGAGGTATTCTATTGAAATCAAATTAAGACATTAACTGGAGTAAATTTCTTCATCCTTTCCCCTCACTTTATTCTCATTCACATTTAAAATGAGAGAGGTTCTAGAATTTCATTTGAACTAGGCAAGCCACATATAATGCAACAGCTAGCTTACCTGATCCTTGGAAATCTTCCCCACAGCAAAATATTTGGACTTCAAATTGGAGAAGTAGAGGCCTGAGACTGCTGAAGCAGGTGCCATTGCTAATGATTCTGTTAACCTAATGCCTAGAGGGAGCAACACAGGGAAAATGCTTATGGACTCAGTGTCTAGCACAGGGCCTGCAGCTAGCAGGCACTCAATGAACTCTTGTTGAACAA
Source organism: Homo sapiens (assembly GCF_000001405.40). NCBI lineage: Eukaryota > Metazoa > Chordata > Mammalia > Primates > Hominidae > Homo > Homo sapiens. The sequence goes on along the minus strand of NC_000001.11, from coordinate 236,896,912 downwards.
GTGAACCAAAGCGAGCTCATGCCTTCTAGGTAGACACATGACACAGCATGAAAGCTGTGATCAGAGAAGTCTAGCAAATTCCTGCCAGGTGAAGAAACAAATTCGGGACATGCAGATCTCCTCTAACCCAGGGGGACAGGCCTGGGAAAGACTCTACACTCCCACCTCCAGCCATCCCAGATCAGTTACAGGTGCCCTAATTTGCTCCTAAGCCTAGACCTTCTCAGGCAGGAGCTCTACCCCTGGAGATGAGAACAACAACTGAACAGCCTCCACCGGCTCTGTGCGGCCACTGATACTAGGGACGACTGAGAGCTCCAGTGAAGAAGGAACCCACAACATTGTGAGAAAGAAGAGACAGTTTTCCTTGGGATCTGAGAGCTCAAACAGACCCTCAAGGATATCTATTCGAAGCCACTCATTCTATGAACAAGGAAACAGAGCAACATGAAGGGTGAGTGCTTTGCCAGAGGTCGCCCAGCTAGCTTATGGCAGAAACAGGACTCAAACCCAGATCTCATGACTCCTAGAGTTAGTGTTGTTCCTGCTGAAGCAGATTCAGCACAGCTCATGGTTTCTCACTTAAATCTGGATGCCTTTATCAGCTTTGATGGCATGCTTTTTATTAATTCCGCTGAAAACTGTGAGCTTAGCCTGGGCCATCTCAACTACATGAACTCTGCAGTAATGACAGAACCAGGACATTGACATGACAATGTGCAGCCACAGAACCACGAGCCAAGTCAGCTCTGGGCACAGGACGCTGAGGCCGGGTGTCTGGGCCTTTGTCTCAGAAAGGCACATGCCAGCTTGTCATTTTCAGCTTTTAGAATCAATCCACAGGCAAAACATAACAGAGAATTATGATTACAGAAGAATATAAATGTTACTAACAGTGTAAAAGTAAAGAGAAAAGAGGGCTGAAGGGAAGGCTGGGCGCTCTGCAAGACCAGCACCCAGGGACACCATCCACAAGCAATGAGACAAGAGCATGAAGCAAAGTGACATTACTGAGGGACAAAGGTCGGTCTCTAAGGGAGGGATTAAAGACATCACCATGCCTGTGACAGGAAACTGGGGCAGGAGAGGCACAGGATGGTATACATAAGCTAAACTCCCATCTGGCGTAGGCCAAGAGGAAATAATTTAAATTGATACATCTAAAAATAATGATGTAAGAATACTAATCAGTAATACTGAAGTAAAATGCAGAATAGCTACGAGTGAAAAAGGACAGCATAAGGGACAATGTGATTAGAAGCCCTTCCATTTTAAAAACATGTTTAACCCTAAGTGCCAGTATGCTGATAAGAGTATCTACTGAAGAAGGAAGACAGGAACCCGCAGCCTCCTGGCTCCTACCTGTAGACTGCTCGATGTCTGCGAGTCTCCACATGGTGAGCTTCTCGGTGTGGTCGGGCTGGCTGGGGTAGCCAGGAGCCGGGCGGATGCCCTTGTACCGCAGCCTGCGCAGGTCTGCGACGTCCAGCTGCTCACTGCCACAGTAGGCCCACAGTTCTCGGCGAACTCTTTCATGGAGCTCTTCTGCAAAGGCCTTGGGACCCAAAGCAGCAGGCATGCTTAGGCAGACGCAGGGGCTCACAGCATCAGTGCAGCCTCCACCCCCTGAATTAGAACCATGAGGACACCCTCCCTCATCTGGACCACAGCCAGGGGAAATTTGACAAGAGGAAACAGGCTGGATTCTTGATTGGTTTGTACTTTCATCAGCTGCTGCTCTGCAGCTCAATTTTGGCCTCAACCTGAGCTCTGAAGGACCATACTTAATGACCTAAAGATTTTAGACCTTAAAATTAACGATTTCCCTAAAGGTCAATCCAAAGCTCCACGGGCCAGAAAGAGCAGCTGGGACCATACAGCTGCTAGTTCCTCCACTGTTCACTGCAGGAAAAGGGAGAGGCTCTCCCCAGGGCAAAGGCTACTACCCTCATTCCATGCAGAGGAAGATGAAGAATCTATAGATGACACCAGCATTACAACGAGGGGCTCTGAAATAAAAATTTGTTTTTAATTTTTTGGGGTACTGAGGAAAATGTCACATCACAACAAGCAAAGAGAGACAACAGAGATAAGGTAGAGATAAAGGCTCTAAGAGCAACAGCCAACTGTGGCACCATTCAAGGTTTTTCTTTGCCTCAAAGATAATGTACACAAGCAATCTGGGGATACATAATATTAAAATACGTATAATGTTAAAGCCAGCAGCATCCATCTCAAGAAAAAAAAAAAAAAAGACACTGGTTCTAAGGGCTGATCAGTCTTCAGGCACCCACCCCAGGCTCCCTACTGCCTGGCCTCTGTCCTCAGCCCCTCGGCGCAATGCCTCTGCCTTACCTCTGCCAGCCGGTCCCCCAGCGCCTTGACCATGATGCTGCTGTAGTCGTCACCATCATCCTCATAGGCCTTGCTCAGCTCTTCTACCCCAAAGCAGGCAACGGCAAACAGGCCCAGGTAGTCACGGATGCCAGAATGCAAGGGAGCGATGAAGTCTGAGAGGCAGTAGTATGGCTCCGTGCTGGCAGAGTCCTTCTCAGCCTTAAAACCAAGGAGTGTAGGAGTGTGCGGGGGCGCCGTTAGCAAGAACGTGGCGCCAGCACACCATGAAGAGCAATCGGGTATCGTCAAATGAGAATAAGCTTCACAACGCACAGATGGCAGCCTGTATTGTGCACTGTTACATCCCCAGTACTTGGAATTGTGTCTGACACATAGTGAGTATCCAATAAATATTTGTAAGATAAACAAATGAAATGAGATTTTTAAAAAATGTATGACATGACGTAACATAAATTGTCAAGACACCAGTTCACTGGCTCATTCACACACTGACCAAACATTTACTGAATGCCTTCAGGCACTGTGCTAAAGTCACGGTTTAAAAAAAAAAAAAAATTTGTCCCCAAGTGTTTTCAATTAAGTCCAGCACCATGTTCAAAAGAGATCCAATAAATGGAAGCGCCTCCACTCTCCATCAACAGCAGCAGCTCAAACAACAAACTGTTGGGGTCAGCGATGCCCAGGCCATGTGCTGCCTGCCATGTGGGGTGGGGTCAAGGGTCATACAGGAGCCGGCTGAGGACACCCAGGGCTGGCTGGGCACCAAACCAAGAATTCAGCAGGATTTGCTTCTGGATTTTCTCCACAGCCCTGGGGCCTACCCTCCCCCATTTTTCACCCTCAGCTCATAAGCAACTCTTCCCTGCAACTAAGGTAACAAATAAAGTCTTATACATATTAAAAAAATCAATAAATATTTGCTGAGAAGGTAAATAGCTTATAATACTCATTCAGTGGTTACTGTATGCCTGCTCTTGGTGCTTTATATGAATTACTATTTAACCCTCTCAACCACCTTGTGACATAGGTGATACCATCAGCTCCATTTTACAGACAAGAAATCAGGGGCATAGGAAGCTTGATCAACTGGCCCAAGGTCAGACAGTGGGAGGGGCCAGGGGGCTGGTACCACAACCCATGCGTCTACATATATGGTACTGCTCAGGACTGATCAATTAATCAATGAGTGGCCAACCCACACACTTCACAGCTCGTTGCCCGCCGTGGAAGCAAGTACAGCTTCATTGACACAGGGCAGGAAATTGTTAAGTACAGGCGAGGAGGTGTTTGGTAATGGCACACAGGAATGTCACAGAGCTCAGGGACAGCTGTGCATGGGGAAGCCGTTTTCCAGGTATACTCGGCCCATCAATTATTCTTTGCTAACAAAGGCCAGAGGGGGACCCAAAGCTTCCCTGCGCCACAGGAGAGAGAGATCACAGAGCCCCATGGTACCTTCGAAGAGACAGCAATCAGAGCCTACTCAGAAGAGCAGACTCCCAGAGTAATAAGGCACTGCCACCAGAATGTTCCAGAGTGCACTGGAGGAAAGCCCCTCCTGAGAAATTGCTACCTGGGTAGGTAATGTATGTGCCTGGCCCAGTTCCCCTCTCCAGAGGCTACTAAAAAGGTGAACTCTGAGAATTCATTCTATTAAATGCCCTAATATGTCACAGACTGCCCGGACATGAATGGTACTGAAAGTAAAAAGAGATCGCAGAGGACACAGGACTTGAAAGATGAAAGACTGGGCTAGAGCAGAGGTTTTTGAACAGTTATGTCTGTAAAAGAATAGCCACAAATTCCCTAGTGAGGAGGGGCTGGAACTTAACATTAGAACCCCAGTGCCTTATATTCTGTGGCGTCCGAGCCTGGGCGCATACAGTGAGGATTTACTGAGCCTAAGTGCATATGGTAAGGATGTAGCTGTCCTTGTTTAATTCTTCATGGTACTGCTGAAGGCCCCAAATTTAAGAATCCCTTCAGATGCTGTTATGGTAAAAATATGGATGATTATGAATTATATTGTGGTTGGGATTAAAATGCGCCACTATCTTTTTTGTTTGTTTTTTAGAGACAGGGTCTCACTCTGTTGCCCAGGTTGGAATACAGTGGCATGATCATGGCTTACTGCAGCCTCGATCTCCTAGGCTCAAGTGATCCTCCCGCCTCATCCTCCCGAGTAGCTGGCTGAAGAAGTACAGGCCTGCACTCCCCAGTGCACGGCTCATTTTTAAATTTGTTTTGTAGAGACAGGGTCTTGCCATCTTGCCGGGGCTAGTCTCAAACTCCTAGGCTCAAGCAATCCTCCCACCTTGGCCTCTCAAAGTGCTGGGATTACAGGTGTGAGCCACTGTGCCCAGCCAACATTATTATTTCTGAACGACTGAAAATGGCAGTAAAACAGAGTAATTTTCTGCAAATTATTAAATTTGTTAATGACTCTGGTGAATTCTGGTTCCAATTCTTGATTAAGACACTCTTTTTTACAGCAGCTAAAGGGACATGCATATGATATTTGCCTTTTCAAAGGTGGGGGGGATGAGAGACAAGTTGCTGAGAAGAGTCTGTTCTCGTCACTCGAAAGAAAAAAAGCCAGCACAGTCAAAGAACGGCCACTGGGGATATGTACAGGCTGGGCTCTCCTCTCTATATTGGGGGGCCCAGCACAATCTCCATCATCCTTCATCTTCTCTGTAAAACACAAACTTAAACTGCCTCACACGGCTGTGTGGAAATTAAAAGCATGACCATCAAGCACCTTACTATGCACCTGGCACCTGGTATACATTCTGCAAATGTTTGTTTCCACCTGTCTTCCCCTTTCAAGGGAAGCCACCTGACAGTCTATTTTAATAATATGCATAGATATTAACCTACGTTTTTGAACAAGTGAGTGTTCTCTTTCTTCAGAAGCTAAGAAGACTGAGATCCTGACACGTGACCACCTGAGACAGCAGCAATGGTCCTCGCCCATCCATGGAACACAATATTAAACGCCTCACTCCTGCTGAGTGGTCCTGCCTCTGACACCCATGGTGGCGCCTTCTCTCCCTCGTCCTCACAGATGGCTTGGGCTTGGGCGTGTGACTGGTCACTTCTTGGGCATGTGATTGGTCATTTGGGAGGAGGTGAAGCAGACCCTCATTTATGCAAAGCTCTTTTGTGTAGTGCTTAAACTCACAAGCGAAAGCGGTGTGCTGGCTGTCAGTACACCTTCCATACCTGTTGCCTTAACCCATAGAAGGTGGCTATGGGCTCTGCAGCCTGGGGCACAGCAGCCTCTGCGTACAGGTGAATGTCGTCTTGGATACTCTGTGCTGGCCAGAACCCAACCACACCCCGGGCCCGGAGTTTCTTTTGACTAATCAGTGTGTTCAGCATATTGTGGGCATCATCGTAGACCTTCCTGGCCTCTCCACCTATTAGAAAAACAGAATTAGAATTCACTTAAAGATGCCAAAAATAACCATCAAACAATGCTTCTTTTAAAAGCCATTACCCCTCCTCAGTCACCTTCCCTCTTCAGGCTTCTCCATTTTCCTCAAATGCTTTCTGGTGTTTGCCACTGACCCAGCTTAAAGTGGAACAGCCAGGGCTTTGCGGCTCCTGCTAAGTGCAGCTCCCACAGTCTGCTTCTCCCAGTTCAAGCCACTCAAGTTTTCCACTGGACAAAAAGCAGAGAGCCAAAGCTGTGGCTCCCCAAAGCATTCTGTCAGAGAGGATGAGAAAGAGCAGGCCACATTCCTCACTGACATTCCTCGTGCACATACAACTCCACTGACTTTGCAGTGACCTCTGGGAGACGCGACCTGTGCCTCGTATTCCGTGGTGCTTTTAATCCCAACTACAATATAATTCGTAACGATTGACATTTTGACCGTAACAACCTCTGAAGGGATTCTTCAATTTGGGGCCTTCAACAGTACCATGAAGAGTTAAACAAGGACAGCTACATCCTCACCCTATGCACTCAGACTCGGTAAATCCTCACTGTATGCGTCCAGGCCCAGACACCACAGAATACAAAGCATGGTGAATATAAGGCACAGGCCCCGTCCCCCAGAGGTCGCTGTGAAGTCAGTGGAATTGTATGTGTACAGGGAACGTTAGTGGTAAGGGGTGAAGTGTGGCCCAAATCCTCACATGTGGCTTCAATGCTGCACCTGGGCTGGCCTGCTCCCGGACCTGCAGTGGGAGCCAGCCTCCGAGGACACCATCTCGGTTTCCGTGAGACTCGGCCACCCTGCCCATGGTGAGAAGCCTGTCCCACGGCCCCTGGACAGCTCACCTGTGATGATTCAGGGGCAGCACACTAAGAAGCCCCTTGCTCATCACCACGTTCCTGACTACCTGAGAGTTCCTGAGTCTCAGCATCCGAACACGCACACCCAGGCACGCCCCCCCGTGGGAAACTTGGCAAAAGGCTGGTTTCTAGGCTCCTCTCAGCCCTAATCCCATGCTTCTGTGAGTCTACCCCTCCCTGCTGCTCTGATCTGGCTACTACCTGATCCTTTGAATGGCTTTGCATTTGGATTCCGTGTCTCTGTCGGTGGATTCTGGGGTAAGGCTAGAAGTGAGAAGTGGGGGTAGTAATTTAACACCTCACTTACTTCTCTAGTTTATCACCCTAAATCCCCATTCCCTCCCCAATGCTCCAAGCACAATGGGCTCCTTGCAGTTCCCCAAATAGGCACATGTGCCTGTGCCTTCTCACACTGTCTCCTCTACCTGGAATGACCTTTTCTTCAACACCATATCACATCCACAGTCCCAGCCACGGCAACTCCCACTGAATCGTCAAAAACAGTTCGAACACCACCTTGTCCAGGAAGCCTGCCCTGACCTCCCAGTCTGAGCTCTATCTCCTCTTATGTCCACAGGAGCCCAGGCAGGGCCCATTACTATTGGATGTGCCAGCTAGTCAGGTGCTAGACAGCAGGGATTATATTGTCTTCCATTTATCCCTAGTGCTCAGCATGTAACTGATGTCAATAAACATTTATTGAAAGAATAAAGTAAATACCAAATTTAGTTGATGCAATAAGGACCAATCTAGCAGATTGAAAACCATTAAAAAGTTGGGCAGGTGAGCAATATGAAAGCAGCCGTAATCTGCACAATCCAAATCCACTGCTCCTCACCGATTCCGGTCTTCAAAGTCACAATCCCACAGCTTGAATATCAGAGGCAGAAAGGAAGGACTTACTGCACTAACCTACTGTTTTGTCGTTAAATATCTTGGGAAAGCCTCGATTCGGGTACTTGCCCCGGAGCTGCCAGACATCAAAGAAAGGCTTCCAGTCAATGTAGTCCACCAGCTTCTGCAGGTCATAGTCTTCAAAGACCTGGGTCCCAATAAACGTGGGCTTCACTACAGGAGAGAAGTATGGTTGTCAATGCTGACGCTGGCACCCTGCCTGATGGAGGCCTCCCTGCCAGCTCCTCACTGCTCTGCCAACTCCCACACTCCGCCTCCCTCCTGTCACCCGTAGGAGTTGTTTTACAAAGAGGGGAACTTTAAATTATCGTGGAGAAGGAGTAATTCTGCACTGAGTCTTAAATAAAACTATTCTTCACATGCAGCTGACTACACCACCCTTGGAAACTGTTCCCTCAACCCTTCCATCCCCACCCCCTGCCCAAGAAGGAAAGACAGACGGGTTAATCCTCACTTGCACAAATGAAGACAAGGTGAACATGAAGAACATGAAAGAACATGAAGAACATGTCCAGAAAGACATGGAGAGTAAGCTACTTATCTAAAGTTTCAAAACCGGAAACAATCATCTAGATTGTCTACTGACACATATGCTCAAAGTATAGGCAAATGAAGTCCCAAATTCAGGACTGCTGTGCTTTCTGCAGGGGAGGAAGGGACACATGTGGGACTTCCGATACATACTCCTCAATACATAATCCTCCACTCTGCCAAGCATGTGTGCAGCACAGATGTATGAGCAAGGAAAAGCTGATTTATTACCTTAGAAATATGGATTCAATTAATATAACCTCTGTTCACTCTGCATTGTTTCGTTTTTTAAAAATCAGATGGTAGGTTATGTCTTAAGCTGGCTAGTGGGTATACGTGGATGTTTAATATATTGTTCTTTATACCTCCTGGTGAGTCTAAAATACATCATAATTTAAATAATGGTGAAGACTTCAGAGACAGATGGTGCTGCTGGGCTTTCTGGGGCAGGTAGAGCAGCACTGCCATCTGCCCTCCAGACTGTAGTGTGGTCTGCACCTCAGACTCTGGTCTGACATGGCAGGATTAGGCTGGAGTCTAAGGTGTTGGCTCCATTGCCGTATCCGAGCCTTCCTGTCTCTCTACTTCCTGATTTGTAACCAGGGATCAGGGAACTTCCTATTCTACCAATCTCAGGGGCTCTGGGAGAACACAGAAGCTTCTAGAGTATTTTTCTCTCATTTGACTTCTTACTCCTGCCTGGAAATCTCTACCTTTTCATACTTGTTCACGGTAGCCCTTTCCCATTTGTTCCTCATCATCCTTCTACTACACGGGACAATCCCTTCTTTGGAAATATCCTATTATGTTGGTTTGTTGGTAACAAAGCCTTTATAGTCCCCTTAGTAGAGAAACTAAAAGGAATCTACAGATAGACCCTTGATTCAAGCGTCCTCCCGCCTGGGAAGGCAGAGAGAACATGCTGCTGCAGAGCCACTGATGGACTCTCTCGTCTCCCAGAATTTAAGAAATGTTTGAGGTGTTACCATCAGGGCCGTAAAAGAAAACCCTCTTTTATTCCCTACCGACTTCCTGCAACTACCCTAGGACTGGCTGTCCTCAAGACATATTTCAGAGGGCCAGCCCTCAGTGGCCCATGGCCCTGGGGCAGCAGGGCGGACCCTGCAGTAGCCCATGCCAGAGGTTAAAGCGGCCACTAAAAAAGCATCCCAACCGCTGCCAGGTGCTGTGGGCCTTTGGAGGGTATTTCCAGCAAAATACGTTTTGGATGTTTGAATTAATCCAAACAGACTTGCCCTTGTGTTATTATTCCAATTTCACAGGGAAAGATACAGAGCAAATAATCGGAGCTTGAACTATACAGCAATTTATATTTTTTCAAAGGTTTTCACAGAATATTTTACCCTCACAACATTTCCAAAAAGTAACTCCTTTTTTTACGTGGTAAAAACTGTCAAACGTGGAAGCAAGCTGCTCAAGGTCACTCCGTGAGTCAGAGTCAGGAGCCACGTTGGGATGAGAACCCCGAGCTCCAGGCTCCCAATATGGCATTCTTTCCACCAAACCACGCTGAACTCAGCAAGGATGAAATTAGAACCAAGCACACCTACATTTCCAATTTAATCCGCTCAACTCTGCCAAGCATGTGTAGAACACAGATGTCGTGAGCAATGAAAGCTGATTTGATACATTACCTTGGAAATATGGATTCAATTAATATAACCCCTGTTCACTCTATCTTGGTTTTGCATTTGTGTCTCACGCCTCTCTGCGCCTGTCAAAACATCTTACACGTTTTATTCCCTTGTGAACACCTATATGAGGCAAGAAAGGTGGCTAGAAATTTAAAAAAAGGAAGAAACCAAATAAAAGAAATAAAAAGAGAGGGAAACATCCAGAGAGAGGACAGAGAGAAAGCAAGAAATAGAGGATCCTGCTTTGCTGCAGTGTTTTAAAGATGTGTGAATGCAAAGGCGTTTCCCATTTTAGACATTTCACATCTGCCCCTGGGCCTGCGAAAGACCCAGGCCACCTCAGGTGACAGTACCACCCAGGCAGGTTTCCACAGAACTTCCTTCAAGGAGACGGGGACCCACGCAAGCACAGCACAGAGGAAAGAGCATGGCTTTAGAAGACAGACCAGAGAGAGATTCCTAGTAACCTTTCAAGTTTCCACCCAAAACTCAGTTTCTTCAAATTAAAATGCAGATAATTCCCATGTCCATTATGGAGTTGTCTGAAGGACTCAGAGAGCTGCTATGAGTCCATCTCAGGATGGTATCTGGCACACAACACCTGCTCCATAAATGGTACCTATTCCCTTTCTTTCCAGTCATCAGTCACTCATCAGCATTAGACACAGTTGAGAGTCGTTAGCTGCTGGTTTGATTTTGCAGCCAAGTAAATGCATGTATTTCCTCAGCACACTGTCAGTTACCACACCCAGTCTTTCTCTAGTCCATAGCCAAACAGACCTGGGTGAGGTTCAGACAGCCAATCCATTTGGAAACCACTTTTTCTGGCTTGACTTAAGGGTAAGTATCTCCTCTCCTGTTAAAAAACAAAGAAAAATTAGTTAGACACTCTTAGCTTTTCTACAACTACTGTGAAAACATGTCCAAGAAGGCCAGTATGTAAGCTTTGCAAGAAAGCAAATGCTCTTATTCATGAGAATGTTTATTCTAAAAAGCTCTTCCTTTTCTACCCAGTCGGTTTCACATTGGCACCAGAACAATAGATAGTAAAGACTTAATAAGCATCCATTAACTGCTGATATATAAATACGAGCCTAGTTCTGCGGCCTGAACCTGAGGTACTAGGGGTGTCTGACCTGTACTTTTAGAACACCTGAGGTCAGCTGTTAACTGGTCTTCCATGGCCCACCCTGAGGACCAGAAGGTAGAATTAAAGAAACTGTCCACTGTGGGCGAACCTAAGGAGAGAGAAAAAAGCCAACCACTGCGTCTTGGCCTACCTACCACCTCAGAAGCAAAACAGCGTGTTTTCCTCATGCTGTTGATCTCATTTCACTTGCCTAGCAACTCCCAAAATGCTCCCACCAAAGCCCAGAAGGCAGATAACCGGAAAGAAATATTTCAGTGACTTCCAAAGCCTAATTATGCCTGTTCTCCATGGATTCCCTGAAGCTGATCAAGAGACGGACAGTTCTTAAAACATCATTCTGCACAGTCAGTGTTGGGCAGTCAGGCAAAAGGCTTATACTGGTCCTGCCTCATGTCTCCATTTTCTTCCATTAGCTCCTGAAGAATGGGGGTCTGTGGGAGTCATTTCAGTACACTGTTTCAGCACCTGTTTCCCTGCTGAGTATGAACTCATGTTTTATTCATTACCATAGTTCTGATATCTAGCACAGCCCCTAACACCTACTGGGTACCCAGTAAATGTTTGGCTGAATAAATAAAATTCATTTCAATACAACCAAAAATTATTTGGGAACTTAAGACACTGAAGACCTCTGATTTGAACTAGAAGACAGAAATTCTCTAAAATGATCCAAAGCCTTTTACACTCCTCAAAACCATTTTAAAAAGTCACATTAAAAACTAGGATCATAAAAAACAGTCACATTAAAAACAAGCAAAAATCTGTTTCTACCACTTACCTTGAGAGACTCATAATGGTCCTGTCTAATATCTTCATATTCTTCCATGATTTCCTCAAAGTATTCATCCTTTAGATTTTCATCTAACAGCTGGGAACACTGAAAATGCAAGATAGCCATAGATGAGCAAAAGATGATAAAACTGGTGTAGTAATGGTCAATGCTGATAACACCTCCTTCAGGAAGGCTTCCTTAACTTCATTTCTTCTCCCTTCACCAACTGTGCTAATTCCTGCCTGGCGTGCAGGAAAAGGTAAACTCAGTGGGCTTGGGATGTTCAAACCCTGCACAAGCCAAAGAAGGGACTGGCCTTTGACTGGTTTCTGGGAGACAAACTCTAAACCCTTGGGACAGCCTGCCTGATAAGAGAGTCACTGTATACCTGGCACCCTGGGCCACGTCACATCGTTTATGCTAACAGTCTGATTTATGGTGGGGGACCTTCGCTCATGCTTATGTTTGACCTCTGCAGGGACTGAAGACTGAACAATTAAGGCTAGACACATGGGCATTCTGGGCCTATGTGACCAACCCCCAATAAAAACCCAGGACGTGAAGGCTCAGGTAAGCTTCTGGGTTGGCAAGGCTCCTTACATGTTGTCACATATCATCAGCGGAAGAAATAAGCACCATCCAGATTACTCTATGGGGGAGATGACTCCTGAAAGCCTGTACCTGGTCTCTCCTGCATTCCATCCTATGTGCCTTTTGCCTTTCCTGATTTTAACCTATATCCTTTCACAACAATAAACCATGGTCATAACAGTGTTTCTGGGTTCTCTGTGTCCTTCTAGTGAAACTTTGAACCTGAAGGTGGTCTTGGGAACCCTCTGGGTTAAGAAACTCCCAACTCAAGGTTTCAAAGATATTCTATTCATCTACTACTGCACTTTCCAAAGCCTTTTAGTTCCAATTTATATATCCACTTCCCTTACTAGAAAGCCCTATGAGAGCTGCAATCACACATTCACTACCTTCATGCCCCTGGTGCCTAGCCCAGTGTCTGGAGGTGCATTCTCACTAAATGTTTGCTGAGGGAATGAGGCTAATCTTCATAGTCCACTGACTTTCTGCTAAAATTGGAAAGGAAACCAATAATCTGAGAAAATGTGAAGTCTACTCATTAAATTGTAAAAGTAGGATCAGCTAAATATTATTTGTTATTATGATTATCAAGTTGATAGAAGAATAGCTACCATCAAAACACAAAATAAAATTACATAGAAAGAAGAAACGGCAGCTACTGATCACATCAGTTAAAAAATAAACATAGCACTGCCCCATCCCTGCATTCTCCAGCAGGATTATCTAATACACAAAAAGGCAAGAAAGTTCAACATCTTCATCTGAACTTAAGGAAGTCAGACTGAATGACGGCTAAAGTGCCTACCAGCTTTAAAATTCTATAACTCTATGTGGGTTTTCTAAGTATCTCTAATAACAATCCAATCACCTATGAGTTAGTATAAAACAAAATCACCTCATTCAGGAATACAATCAGAAAAGGCCATCGTGGCAGGCCAAAAATAGGTTCCTAAATAGTGTTCACACCACAAAGTATTCCCCAGCCTTACATTAAACTCACCTCAATGGAGTCCTCGTTTAGGAAACCCAGCACAGCCCAATGAAACAAGAAGGGAATGCCTACTCTGAACTCCCTGAAGTGTATGTAACCAATGTTTTAAAGCCCTCTTGCATTTTGCTAGATTATACACTCTGAGAAAGCAAAACCAGATGTCCTTGACATCCAGAGAATCTACGACCCCCTGATGCTGGTGCTATTGTGTAGACAGAACATACCGCTGCAGTTTGCTGGCACCTTGCACAGCCCCATGAAGCCCGCTGCTCCCAGAGCCACAGTGGCAGGCCCCTTCTGGCCCAGTCTGACTTACTTGACGGAAACAAGTTCATGGTCAATATGTGCGCTAACCTACATGATCCTTCCACCAAAAAATCAAATCCATCATGTGTTTTCATGCCAACCACTGGGACATATCACAGTTTATATTTTCCTTCATTTTTAAAAATAACATTTCATGGCAACAGCCACACAATAAGAGGGAGTAAACTGAAAAGATATTTTATAATTTAAAAAGAATAAAATATTGGCACCTCGTTTTTTATTAAAGAAGAAAAAAGAAAGCAAGGGTCTAAATCTCCAACCATTAAGTATTTGCTACATCTTTTTGGAATCTTCCAAATATATGAGATAGCTGCTAAAATGTGATCCTGTTCCATGTTCATTTCAGTTAGATCAAAAGAGCCTGAGCCAATGAGCCCACAACCAACTGAAACAAATTATACCACTGGCTCCTGAAGTGTCACCAGCAGTTACCCACATGATTTATCATCTGACTTATGTTTTAGCAATTTCAAAATGTGGTCGTTTCTTTGTACACGGGAGGAGCTAACCACTGCTGGCTGCGTGGCTGGACCAAACTGGAAAGAGCACAAACACCCACTCCTCATTCCCTGCCTGGCTTTCAGCAAGGCCCCCACTGCTCTAGCTCTTCAAGATGGTGAAGGAGGCCGGGCACAGTGGCTCACGCCTGTAATCCCAGCACTTTGGGAAGCCGAGGCGGGTGGATCACTTGAGGTCAGGAGTTCAAGACCAGCCTGGCCAACATGGTGAAACCCCATCTCTACTAAAAATACAAAAAAATTAGCCGGAAGTGGTGGTGCACACCTGTAATCCCAGCTACTTGTGAGGCTGAGGCAGGAGAATTGCTTGAATCTGGGAGGCGTAGGTTGCAGTAAGCCGAGATCGAGCCACTGCACCTCAGCCTGGGCAACAGGGCAACAATCCGTCTCAAAAAAAAAAAAAAAAATGGTGAAGGGGTTTGTCCTCCAAACATGGAATCAAAGGGCTGATTCTTTCCCCTGCCTATAGAGGAAAGGTTGGCACTGTGCAACTAAATGGATCCAAAAGTCTTGCCTCTGAAAGGAAACTATTCAGGGCTATACATCAGTGTTTGAAAATAATGACAAGTGTTAAAAAGAGGCCCACAGCACTCAGCCATGGACCTGACATAAGCTCCTATGGAGCACAATCCAAGAATAAGAAACAAAAATTGTTTTAAAATTGAGTTGTAGAAATATAGCTTATTTGCATATTTGTCTACATCAATGGCAAATAAAAAATTGCAATTTTATGATCCCAGACTGAGTTAATTTTATCCTTTTTAATGAAGGAGAATTGTTAAATATTAATGGGAAACAAGTTTAATTTAACACAGAGTAAGATAACCTGCATTCAAATCCCACACCTGCCACTTTGACAGACGTGTGGTCTCAGCAGAGTTCCTAATCTCTTTATTCTTCTGTCTCCTGATCTCTAAAATGGGGACCAAAAAATACCTATATCATGAGGTTAGCCTGAGGATTAAATAAAATCCATGTAAAGCACTTAGCTCAGTACCTGGCACACTACACATTTTCAATAATGTTAGTGATGATTATATAACTTTCATGTAAATAAATTCGCAGATCTGAAATAATTTCCTTGGAAGGTAGCTCAGGAAATGCGGTCACCCTAGTCCAGGTCGCATGGCATCACTGGAAGTCTCGCAGATCACCAGGCCACCTCCGTAACCTTCCTCGCCTGCACAATGTGAAGGCTGGGCTAAATCTGTGGTTCTCAAACTGTGCTCTTTTGATGGACACTAGGAGCGGGATGGGACGGTAAGTGACGTCTTACCTGGAAATTCTGCCACACTAAATTTCCAGGTAAGACGTCACTTAACAGACAAAGATTCTGTGGCTGAAATCAATTTGGAAACCCCTGGACCACACTGCCTCTCGGGTGCACCCCAGCTGTTATATCCCATTATTCAGTGAAAACAATGAAACCTATAACAAGATAGAATGTTAGGCTTCACTGAAAGAGAAAAGCAGGACGTGGGTGAATTGTTTATGATGTTCACAGAGAAGCAGAAACCACTGTTCTGGGTTTTAAATATCTAGCAGATGTTTTTCTGTCTTTGGGTAGGGTCAACTAGGACACTTTTGAGTTTGTTTTTCTATCTGGAAAAAGGTCATTTAAAAATCCAACATTCCTTTTAGACAGTCAAGCAAACATCTATTCATGTTTGTGAGTGGGTGAAATCTTTGTCTGGTTGGTGTCCAGGTCAAAGATGTCTTGGTGCCAGGCCATCTACCTGTCTGCTGCTCAGTTCTGTAATTGTCTTTGAAAGTATAGGACATGGTCACCTGGACCTCCTTCCAGCAAGGCAGTCACTGCAGAGGCACACCATGAGCCTCAGGCTGCTCTTTGACCTTTATTTAGTAGAACTGAATAAAAATGAATAGATCTTAAGTTAAACCCTTACTTGTAATGCAAGCTTTCCAACACATCTGGAATAAAATGTAAGGTCACCCACTTACCACCACCACACTCTTGGACGCGTCCAGGACATGGATTACAGGTGCACTGTATCTCGGAGCTATTTTAACTGCTGTGTGGGTTCTAAAAAGAAGGGTCAGAAAGAAAATATATCCATCAGCACTGACAGTTCCTATACAACTCTTGTTCAGCGCCATTAGAGATAATGTATTTCTACAGTGCTTTCCAGAGAAACATTTCAAGGTGCTTACCTACAAATACTGAACTTCAAATTTCCCTCGTAAAACATGAATGACTTTTTCCCTACCCTAAGATGGGAAACCTAGCCCAGGCTCTGCAGAAGAGAAAGACCTTGTCCTCAGCTCCGTTAACAAGGGACTGAGCCCGTGCATGACCTGGTGCTCATTCGCAGCCCACGTGACTTAAGGGAGGTAACCAGGCCCAGGAAATCACACTGCTGTCATCAAGGTCAGGTTGAGTTCCCTCCTCCAAATGAGCTGGGACAGCAGCCAGGGCCCCTAAGGAACCGGGAACCAGGCAGAGGACACAGGATATGGCTGTCTAGCAGCTGCTCCCCTATTCATGGGAGACATCAACACTCCTCAGCCCCAACCCCACCTTGTACTTGCAGTATGGAACCCCAAACCTGAAATTCAACATAAAATAATACAGAGAGGCAAAAGCAAGAAAAATATTTTTATTTTATTTCATTTTATTTTTTTGAGACGGAGCTCTGTCACCCAGGCTGGAGTGCAGTGGTGCAATCTCGGCTCACCGCAAGCTCCGCCTCCCACGTTCACACCATTCTCCTGCCTCAGCCTCCCAAGTAGCTGGGACTACAGGCACCCGCCACCATGCCCAGCTAATTTTTTTCTATTTTTTTTTTTTAGTAGAGATGGGGTTTCACTGTGTTAGCCAGGATGGTCTCGATCTCCTGACCTAGTGATCCACCTGCCTCGGCTTCCCAAAGTGCTGGGATTACAGGCATGAGCCACTGTGCCTGGCCAATATTTTACTTTTAATATTTAGGATTGGTTCAGCCCCACATCCCTATTACCAAACTTGAAAATGTTGGTATTAGGAAGAAAGGCCCTTTCATTCTTAAAATTGCCTAATTAACAGAAGTGCAAAACAAACTGCCCTGTGATGACTGCATGTTTACAGCAATAGGATAGGCTACAAATCTGCTATTTCATGATAGAACATAATGAATTAAAGTGAAAACTGAAAACATGTACAGCCTCCCTTACAGTGGTTAATCCAGAACCCCTGGAGAGGGAGGAGAATTGTGTTCTGGCCACATCCCACCTTTAGAAGGGTGGCCAGCAGCAGTCCCCATGAGATGGGCAGTGCTTTCTGCCTTTTATCCTCTCTCCTCCTCCCCAGAAGTAGCAGTACTCTTCCTCAAGTGCTTTCATATTCTTCCCCCTCGACAAAAACATATGTTTGGAATATTATCCAGAATATGCTATTATATGAGAAAGAAACAAAGTAGCAGAACACTATATTTAATGCAATTGTATTTTTAAGAAACACCACCCTCAAGCTTTTCCAAACAACCAACCAATCCTGTATCTAAGTTTCTATATATTTAGAAAAAACACAGGAAGATACACATCGAAGTGTCCACACTGGTTATGGGGGTTAGAGGTGAGGCTGAAGGTTGGAAGAGAGAGATTCAATTGTACTTTACATTCCTCTGAATTGTTTGACATGGTCTAGTAAATGTGGATCATTGAGGTAATTTTTAAAAACCAAGAGACTGTTATAGGTGTAATATATGCATGAGTGTGTTTTTAACAGGCTTCTCAAGGAAGGCTCTAAAAACTCATAAGACAGACAAGACCAGTAACACTTCACCTGTTCCATCTTCCTAACAGTATGTCCACTTGTAAACGGAAGCAAAGGACTACAAAGCCTTAGGCTATGAGAACTGAGCTGGAAGATGGGCATTCAGGCATAAGCCAGTGAGTCAAGAGCCATCTTTTGGAATGGGAAGGCTGGGGTACAGAGTGGTAGGGAGGCCAGACCATGGCCCTGGGGCAGATTAATGAACTCCATGGCCTCCTGAGACCCTCCTGTTTTATGCCCAGTGTGTGCTCAGGGACCAAAGACCCCAAATCTATTGAACTCTTTCAATCTCTCCAAATATCGATTCATCCACTAGACTAAGCTTGTCCAACATGCAGCTCAGGACAGCTTTGAATGTGGCCCAATACAAATTCATAAACTTTCTTAAAACATTATGAGATTTTTTTTGTTTCAGTTCATTAGCTATTGTTAGTGTTAGTGTATTTTATGTGTGGCCTGAAACAATTCTTCCAATGTGGCCCGGGGAAACCAAAAGACTGGACACTCCTGCACTAGACAGCCTTAACCTTCATTTCGAGTATCTTGGGGGTACAGTTCCAGTTCTACTCACGCTACTGCAAGTCACTGATGTCTGGAAAAGCCATAGGGTTATCTCCCCTCAGCGATGTTTTCATGAAAACGTGGAAGTCCTGAGCTAATGAGCTACTGCTAAGTCCTCCACTGGTTTGTGGGAAATCATAAGGGCTCTCAGATGGGCTTCTGAGACACTTCAACTCCTGAATGCTTTCTATTTCTAGCAAAGGTGGCTCTCCTAGGAGATGACTTACTTATTTGGATGCAAAAGGCATTAACCATATATGAAGAGACTGATAAATCGGACTTTATAAAAATTAAGACTTTTGTTATCCAAAGACAGCACTAAGATAGCAAAAGGCAAGCCAGATTGAAAAAAAATCTATTTGCAATATATGTATTTCTGATAAAGGACTTGTAACTACTATAAACTAAAGAATGTGTACAAACCAATAAGAATAAAGCAGAATACCCAATTTTTAAAAATATTTAAAAAGCATATCCAAATGGTCAATATATAAATGAAAAGGTGTTCAACATCATTACTCAGCAGAGAAATGCAAACGAAAACCATAGCAAGGTATTACTACACCCATGACAAGGGATACCATTGAAAAGAACGTGGAATAACTGGAACTTTCACAATTGCTTGTGGGAGTGTAAATTGCTACAATTTGGAAAACTATGTGGCAATAGCTAATGAAGATGATCATAGGCATATCCTATGATCTGGCAATTCTGCTTCTAGGCAAAAATACACATACATGTGCACCAAAATTCATAAGCATAAGTGTTCATAGCAGCATTGTTTGTGATAGCCCCAAAGTGGAAAACCTCAAATGTCCACCAACAGTAGCAAGAGTAAATAAGTCACAGCACATTATACAATGGAATACTACATTGAAAAAAAACCAACAAAAAACCAAACAACTATCGTAACAAGGCTGATGTGGGGCAAAAGAAGCCGGACACAGGAGAGCACATACAATATGACTCCACTTATATAAAGTTGAAATGCAAGCAAAACCAACGTATGGTGACAAGAAAGAACAGTGGTTACTTTTGTTGGAAAGGATGACTGGGTGGAGGAACCTGCTGAGGTTCCTAGGGTGCCATTAGTGTTCTATTTCTTGATCTGGAGGTGGTTACATGGGTGGGTTCCCTTTTGTAAAAACTTGTCAAGTTGTACATCTATATGATTTGTGTACTTTTCTGTATAACTGCTAAACTTCTGTAAAAGCACTTACTTAAATAAGAGAGCTTGCTAAAGCAAGACCTCAGATCGCAGACCTCATCCACTGTCACTAATTAGAATGGAGTCAGAACTGGGAAATTCTACAGTGAAGTGCTTGGAGGTTGCGTGGAAATCTGTTTTCCAAAGGCTGTTCCAGCACCACAGTGTAGAAGGGAATGGTTCCCGGGAAGCAGTGCTACCTACTAGCTCTTATTTTCCAAGTAATTTCCCAGAAACTGCAACAGGCATGGAAGAGAAGAGAACCAGAAGAGGCAGGGCTCATACAGAAACAATGCTCTGGAGAGTTGAAAGAAACCTTAGGTGGTCAGTGGACTCAGCTTTCTACCTTCAGGCCAAACACATTTACAGTTTCCCAGACAATGAGAATAGATATTTCGCAGTAACTGAAGAGATGTTGGTGATTTCCTATCTTGTTAATTCTAATCTGATATATCAGGTTGCAACTGCTAAGAATCATTAGCAAGCTAATTTTGCCAATAATGTATCTTGAGAGGCTAGTCACGTTGCTTCTCAATGTTTTTTTTTCTTTAATCTGGTAGCTTTTACATAGTAAATGATAGAATGGACTATTTGGTAAAGTTCCAATTTGCACAAGAAGCAAATTTCTGAGTGTAGTGTCCCACCATATAAAAAGATTCTTTTTTTGAAGCCAGCATCATATTTACATAACACATAATGTATTTTAATTATGTTCCTTTAAATATTTATTTATTCTACTTCACAGTTGATATTAAAGTCTTTCATTCTGACAACAGTCCATAGGTCCTCTTACCATTCTCTTCACTAAGCCTGTCATCAATTACCCAAGCCCATGCTCATCAAAACCCATTATTAATGGGTGGCCATATCCCTTGAGACCAAGTCTGCCACATTTCCTGGTACATAAGTCCTTTGTGGAAACGCAAACCCTGTTTTCTAACGTTAAGCAACGATAGTCAAACTATCGAATCCTTCAAGTATGAAGAACAGCTAATGGATAAAAGACACATAATACTGTTTCTACTTATGAAGATGACTCATTCAAATTTTAAATGGTATGATGGTTAATTTCACGTATAAACTTGGCTAGGCCATGGTATCTACTTTTTGGTTAACCACAACCTAAATGTTACTGTGAAAGTATTTTTTTTGATGTGATTAACATTTATCAGTAGACCTAAGTAAAGCACATTATCCTCCACTATGTTGGTGGGCCTCATCCAGTCAGCTGAAGACCTTTAAGAGACAAGACAAGGAGTCCCTTATTCACTCCCCAGCCCTACAAGGAAGAAGAAATTCCACCTCTAGACTGCCTTTAGACTCAAAAAATCAACTTACCTGTGTCTCCAGCCTGCAGATTTCAGTCTTGCCAGCCTCCACAATCACAGGAGTTAATTATTTAAAATAAATCTCTTTCTCTCTATATATAAACATATCCTATTGATTCTGTTCCTCTGAACAACCCTATACAAATTGGCTAAAAGTACAGTTGTTTGTAGTGCAAAAGGAACACTTTTCTTTTGCATACCTATAACCAGACCTTTATTGTGGCATACCTATGGAACCAGACCTTTATTGTATACCTATACCCAGATCTTTATTGTATTTCTGGCATACCTATAACCAGACCTTTATTGTATTTCTGCATCAGAAAAATAAACTAGATGCTATGGGACCACTGTGTTCAATGTTCCAGTATGATAATGCTGAGAAAGTGAACTGTACATGGCATAAAAAGTCTAGTACCCACAGTTAACGTAGCACTTACCACATATCACTATGATCATGATCCCAGGAAAAATCTGGTAAACTGAATAATTATCATGTGAACAAATTTGAACTTTCTCATCTTTACATTTTATACCTCTTTATGTTGTTAACCCAAAGGTTCCCACAAAGCTCCCCTTTCAGGAACTCCCCAAAGTGACCATTTAGTTCATTCTTGCTAGATGGGCTTTCTGTCTCCAAACTACTACAAGGTTAGAGTTCCTTCAAAGGAACCTGTAATCATTCAGTCAGACACCTGCTTCAAGACAGAGTGGGCAAAAGTTCAAGTAATGATTTTGTGCCAAAAAACACAGCTTCTCCACTCGGTTTAATTTCACGAGAAGAGTTCATTATAATTCTCAGGAACTGAATCGCAAGTGAGAGTGTTAAGAAAAAGATTATTGCAAGCCAAAGAAATCCAAGAAAAAGCAAAGAATAGGAATCACAAAAAGTTTTCTATAGCATGCTCTGAAAGTATTCTGGCTCTCACCCAAGTGAACACCAGAAAATGTTTGTGTTTATATAACAAAAAGTCAATGTACTAAACATAAGGGAAAATCCAAAACAACACAGGTTTCCCACTGTTTCAAACACTGGCATATAAGAAAATTTGAAGTGAGGACAAAGCTCATTAGTATAACTTACTTTGAAGTGGTTGCTCCTCCAATCAACAATGGAATCCTTATAGCTAATCTCTCCATTTCCTTGGCAACAAAAATCATTTCATCCAGGGAAGGAGTGATGAGTCCTGACAGGCCAATTATATCTATTTTTTTTTTTTTTAAAAAAAAAAGGACAAAAAGGACAGTGAGGAAGATGAAAGAAAAAGGAAAAGGATGAAGATCCATTTAAAAAACTTTGTAATGAAGACCAAAAGACCTAACATGAATTCCCAATTCCTAATTCTTTTTTTTTTTTTTTGAGATGGAGTCTCATTCGGTTGCCCAGGTTGGAGTGCAGTGGCGCGATCTCGGCTCACTGCAACCTTTGCCTCCTGGGTTCAAGCGATTCTCCTGCCCCTCCTGAGTAGCTGCGATTACAGGTGCCCACCACCAAGCTTGGCTAATTTTTGTATTTTTAGTAGAGACAGGGTTTCACCACGTTGGCCAGGCTGGTCTCAAACTTCTGACCTCAAATGATCCGCCTGCCTCAGCCTCCCAAAATGCCGGGATTACAGGTGTGAGCCACTGCGCCCATCCCCAGTTTCTAATTCTAAGACATCTTTTCCGACTGGGGAATTTCAATCTATTGTTTGCTTTTGGTAGTAAATAAGATTTATAACTTAAAGTTGCAATAATTACTTGCCATAGTTTTAGGAAACGATGCAATAAAGGTATATTTAGCTCATGATTTCCCGGACTTGAATATATCACAGTGTGAGAAGAAATATAAAAATGACTACATACAACTGTTCTAAGAAGTCTGTCCCCATTCCCCATCTCCAGGACTCGGTTCCATAGTTACTCATTCTCGTCTCTCAACCCCATTAGAAATGGCAATGAAAGCAACCTGGTGCAGGAGCTGGCACTTGATTGTATGTCCCACAGAACCCTCATGGGGCATCACTATTCACTGACAGACAACTAGGGAAATGACAGACACCTGGGGATATGACATTTAGAGAAATGCCCAAAGTATAGTTGCACAGTACCTGCTTTGTGGTCAAGAGCAGCTTTCAGTATCTTATCACATGGAGTCATGACTCCTAAATCAATAACTCTGAGGCACAGAAATGAGACATGAGAAAATTAATGAAAGCCCATTAGAGACAAAACTGAAATGAACATTTTTATTTCAACCATTAAATACTGCTCTAATGTAAACGAGAATCAAGTTGAAATGCTCACTAAATATTGAGGATTACCACCACAACTACCATTTATTCAGTACTTACTACATATACGCCAGGCACTATGCTAAGCTTGCTTTTAAGCAGCTTTACCGACCATCATTCACATACCATACAATTCACCCATTTCAAGTGTGCAATTCAATGGTTTCTGGTATGTTATTTTTTTAATTGTGGTGAAATATACATAATATATACTTTTCCATTTTAACCATTTTTCAATGTATAATCCAGTAGCATGAATTTCAGTTACAATGTTGAGCAACCATCATCACTATTTACGTCCAAACTTATTTTATCACCCAGAGCAGAAACACTGTAACCATTTAGCAATAACTACCCCTTCTTCTCTCCCACCCTCTCCACTCCATCCCCTGGTAACCTCTACTCTACTTTCTTTCTCTATGAATTTGCCTTATCTAGATATTTCGCATAAGTAGAATAATACAGTATTCATCCTTTTGTGTTTGGCTAAACTTCACTTAGCACAGTGCCTTCAAAGTCCAACCATGTTTTGAGGCATGTCAGAAGTTCAGTCTTTTTTAAGGCCAAAAAATATTCCACTGTATGGAGATAACATGTTTTGCTTATCCATTCATCTGTTGAAAGACACTGTGCTCAGCTTTTTGCATAAGCAATCTCTTTTGCTGTTGTTTTTGAGACAGGGTCTCATTCTGTCACCCAGGCTGGAGTGCAGTGGCGTGATTACGGCTCACTGCAGCCTTGACCTCCTGCCTCAGCCTCCAGAGTAGCTGGGACCACAGGCATGCCCCACTAAACCCAGCTAATTTTTACAGTTTTTGTAGATAGGGTTTCCCTATGTTGCCCAGACTGGTCTCAAACTCCTGGGCTCAAGTGATCCTCCCACCTCGGCTTCCTTTGGGATTACAGGCTTGAGCTAGGATTATAGGCTTGAGCCACAGTGCCCGGCCTGCATAAATGATCTCATTTAAACCCTCATAGTAACTCTATCATGAAAGCACTACTATGGGTCTCATTTTAATGAGAAGGGGCCCAGAGAAATTAAGCAATCTGTCTAGTCACACAACTAATTAGAGGCAGAGTTGGGATCTGAATCAGTATCTCACTCCAAAATCCATTATCTTATCTATTTAGGCCAATAAAAAGGGCTAGGGAAGTTCCTCAATAAACACCTGTTGAACTTGGAAGCCAACAGGGAAGATCATGAAAAAGAGGTCAGGTCCTGCACACGAAGAGCTGTCAGGGAACTCTGATTACTTAACGCAAGAAAAAGAGGGAGAGTGATTCAGGGTGCAGGTCACCGAGGGCAAGAGGGCAAGACTGAAAGGAAAGGCAGACTCTAGATGGGCACACAGGAGAACAGGCGCTGGGGCAGAGGAAGCCTGGAGCACACTCTCAGAGAACGGAACAGTGCCAGACAAATTTCAATTCATGGAGGAGAGAGCTTCCTGGAACTCAGAGGAAACAGGAATGTCTGCCCTGGAAAATGTTCTAGGAATTACTTCTATTTTAAATTTACAGAGTACCTTAATGTCATTTTGATAATTTAACCTTCTTCTATTTGTTAAAAGATGTTGAAAAACTTACAGCATGCATTTTTACTTATTTCATTACATCAACAATTCTTAAAATTAAATAGGCAAAAACGTTTAAATAACAAGAACAAAAAAGAATGCTTAAGACTACAACATGACATACTGGCTGGTAACAATGGGTGCTGAACGCTGGGGCAGGAAGGGGACTGGCTTCTCACTATATGCCCTTTCATACCACTGGATTTTTAGCTTGTACTCATATTACTTTTTTAAAAAAAGTTAAAAAAAAAACTATGACATATGGAATCTTCAGTAAAAAGTAAGACAACTTCAAATCAATGGTAAGTATATTCAGCTTTGTTGGCACTAACCCAGTAGCAAATGCACGCTGGAGGTGTTAATGATGTATAACCACTGCAGGTTATAGCAGGAGTGAGATGGTACCACATGCTTTTTTTTTCTTTTTAACATATTGAAGAAAGTCTAGTACCTGGATCTTTTGTTAAACAATGACTAAGCATAGACTGTCACATATAAAACTAGGAAAAATAGCATACTGCTTTTAAATCAAGACAAAAAGGCATACATTTCAAAGCTGATTTTTTTTTTAACATTGTATATGTTTTAAAATTCAACTAAAACGCATCAGTATGATGGCAAGAATCATCTTGCTGTCACTGCTTTTTCTTGTTTCAGCAGTGTTTCTCTCAGGAACATCTTATGTGGATGCTTGCCATGTTTAAGGAAGAGTAAGGAAATTGTTGTGGCTGGAACAGAAACGGAGAAGGATAGAGTTGTGGGTGATAAGTTCAGAGGAGGAGGAAAAGGCCAGAGCCTGTGTAGACTTCGCATCAGAATCACCAGGGGAGCCTTTTCAAAATCAAACAACCTGAAGCTTGGACTCCATTTTCCAGAGACTGTGATTTAACTGACCAGGGGTGGGGTCCGGGAAGCTTCCAGATTATACCCACTACACAAGGGCCTTGCAGACCACTACAAGGGCTCTGAGTTTTACTGAGCGAAGAGAGAAATCACTGGAGGGTCTGAACAGTGGAGTAAGAAATCTGACTTAGATTTAACAGATTTACTTGGGACTGAAACAAGTCCGGGGTAGAGAAGCAGAGAGACTGGTTAGGCTGCTGCAAAAATCCAGACAAGAAGCAGTGTAGGTAGTGAGAAGTGGTCAGATCCTGGAAATACTGTGAAAGGAGAACTGATGGGTTACATGCGGGTTATCTGACGAGAGGATGACGCAAGAGTTTCGGTTTGAGCAGCAAGAAAAATGAAGTTGCTATTTCTTGAAATAGGGGAGAGCTGGGGAGGTGTTCACAAAATGGTGGCAATTAGTTCAGTTTTCAAAATATTAAATTTGAGATTTCTTTAGATATCCAAATGGAGCTGTCAGGGAGTCCACTGGATATGTAAGTCTAAAGTCTGGGGGAGAGATCCACAGTGGAGATACAATTTGGGACTTGTCAGTACATCAGATGATACTGAAGTCACAAAACGAATGAGACGACTTCAGCCCACCCCAGGCCTTGTTACTCCAGGTGTGCTCCTGTACCAGCAGCACCAGCCCTATCTGAGAGTTTGTCGGAAATGCAGAACCTCCAGTCCAGACTTACCCTAATCAGAATCTGACTTTTAACAAAATCCCCAGGTGACAAGAAGGTACATTACAGTTTGAGAAACACACATCTAGACAGTGAAGACAGAGAAGAGGTCCAAGGGCTGAGCCCCAGAACATTTCTGTGTTTAAAGACCACTCCCAGAAGGAGAGATCAGCAGGAGAGAATCATAACCACAGATCAGTGAGGTAAGAAAACGACCAAGAACACTGAGCCAGAGGCCTGGGTGACAAGTTCAATTTCCAGCTAATTAGCCTGCCTTCAAAGTCGTCTTGCTGGGGAAATAGTCAAATGTACTATTGATTAGAGGGCAATTCTCACTATTTCCACACACTGAAATGACACTTATGGTACTGGGATGCACAAAGGAAGTTGCTCACAGCCCTGGTCAACCCATGTAGGACAGAGGCCCAGTTCCACTCTCCAGCAGGAAAGAGAATGGGTTTCCTGGCACATCTGAGTTGAGAAACTGTTGGCAAGCTCTGAATTAGAATATGGTGTGGCAAGTACTACAATGAAAGCATTTACAGTGTACTATGTATGGAAGGCCCAAAATGGGTGACAACCAGAAGCATCCTAGGGGAAAGTCTGAAATGGATTTTGAAAAATTAAGTGGGTATTAGCTGAAGGAAACAGGGAAGTCTAGGCAGAGACCAGCACTATGAGGGCCCAGAGTCCTGAACTAGCTAGGAATCCCAGGGTATGTGAAGTCGGAGAAGAGGGCACAGGTCAGATCCAGCCTGCCCTCTGTGCCTGCTACCATTCTTCCCACCATCCCTCTCACCTCTACCACAACCTCCTGTTTTACCCCTACACATAACCCCATCTTCCTTGACTCTCCCTCAGTTTCCCTTTGTCATTTTGAGCCATACCCTATGTCTGTAAGCCTCTCCCTATACACATTCCTGTATTTCGCCACATGGGAGGCTAAAGAGAATAAAAATGAATGTTACGGAAGTTGTTGATTTTACAGTATTTGTTTTAAAGTGCTCAGAAGAGAGGTTGGGTATGGAGGCTCATGCCTGTAAACCCAGTGCTTTAAGAGGCCAAGGCAGGAGGATCACTTGAGGCCAGGGGTTTGAGTCCAGCCTGGGCAACATTAGCGAGACTTTGTCTCTACAAAAAAACTCTTTTTTTAAGTGCTTAGAATAGAGCTATGAGAGCAAGCATTTAATTTGGATACTAATCCAGGAAAAAAAAAGTTGCACTGAATGTTTTAGCAAAGGCATCTCATACTATTTAAGAATACACAGAATTTCAAAAATACTGTAATGTAAGACAAAAAGTCCTTTTCGTCTCCAGAAGAAATTTAAAAAGGAAAATAAAACTGCATCTGCATCCTTTTAAGGTACCTGATACTTGCTGTCATTTTACCCTTTATTTCTCAGTTAACTAAGGTGGCAGCCTGTCTGCTGCTCCTGCAATTCACACATGCCACCACAAGATGGCATGTGTTTCCATCCAGTCTGCAGTCCAGCCATGGTTTCCAACCTGTACTTAAGTAGTGCCAGTGGGGTCTGTTGCCATTTCCATTACTTTTTAAAAAAAATAAACAAATTGTTGATCTCTCCTTCAAAAAATGGATCCAAATCCTCTAAATAATTATCAGCATGTGAAGTTCTCAGGAGAGACTGCATTACCGTATCTTTGACTTAGGTACAATCATGTTCCTCACTCAGCTGAACGTTCCAACATTATACAGTTTGGAATTATTTTCATGCTCAGCCATATACTGCTCTTTTACGTATACTAGACAGTTATATTAAGAACCACTGGTTATCAGACCCATGTTTAAAAACATTAGATGTATGATGTATAACTTTAAAATGTATCATGAAATAGCGTATTTTTCTTACATAATTAAACACTGTGCATTATCTGTAATGGAAAATGTCCTCTTTTGTCTTTTCCTAGTTACTATTACAGAGTATATGTAAAATTAACCTCAATGGAATTAATCAAAAATATTTCCAAATATTCTACATTATTTCTTGAGGGGAATTTAGAATACAGACATAACTCAGAGATGCTATAGGTTCAACTCTAGACCATTACAATAAAGTATCTCAATAAAGTGAGTCATGTGAATTTTTTGGTTTCTCAATGCATATAAAAGTTATGTTCACACTATACTGTACTCTATTATGTGTGCAATAGTATTATGTCTAAAAGAACAAGGTATACATACCTTAATTTAAAAATACTTGTTGCTAAAAAAAAAATGCTAATGATCATCTGGGTCTTCAGTGAGTTGTAACCTTTTTGCTGGTAGAGGGTCTTGACTTGATGTTCATGGCTGCTGACTGATTAGAGTGGTGGCTGCAGAAGTTTGGGGTGGCCGTGGCAATTTCTCAAAATAAGACGACAGTGAAGTTTCCCACACCAATTGAATCTAACTTTCACAAAAGATTTCTCTGCAGCATGTGATGCTGTTTGATAGCGTTTTACTCACAGAACTTCTTTCAAAATTGTAGGCCAATCATCTCAAACCTTGCCCCTGCTTTATCACCTAAGTTTACGTGCTGTTTATTCTAAATCCTCTGTTGTTATTTCAACACTGTTCATAGCCATCTCAAGAAACTACTTTCTTTGCTCAGCCTTGCTCAGCCGTAAGAAGCAATTCCTCATCTGTTGAAGTTGTATTACGAGATTGTAGCAATTCATTCCCATCTTCAGGCTCCACTTTTAATTCTGGTTTACTCTTGCTATTTCTACCACATCGGCAGTTACTTCCTCCACTGAAGTCTTGAATCCCTCAAAGTCATCTATGAGAGTTGGAATCAACTTCTTCCAAGCTCCTGTTAATGTTGATATTTTGACCTCCTCCCATGAATTACAAATGTTCTTAATGGCATCTAGAATGGTGAATCCTTTACAGAAGGTTTTTTGATTTCCTTTGCCCAGATCCATCACTATCTATGGCAGCTACAGCCTTACAAAATGTAAGACTTGAAAGTCAAAATTCCTCCTTGATTCACAGGCTGCAGAATGGATGTTGTGTTAGCAGGCATGAAAACAATATTCATCTCCTTGTATATCTCTATCAGAATTCTTGTGACCAGGTGCACTGTCAATGAGGAGTAATATTTTGAAAGGAATCTTTTTTACTGAGCAGTAGGTCTTAATGGTAGGCTTAAAATATTCAGTAAACCCATGCTGTAAACAGATGTGCTCTCATCCAGGCTTTGTCATTCCATTTATAGAGCACAGACAGAGTAGATTTAACATAATTCTTAAAGCCCTAGAATTTTCAGAATGGCAAATGCGCACTGGCTTCAACTGACAGTCATCAGCCCCTCCACAAGAGAGTCAGCCTGTCCTTTCAAGTTTTGAAGCCAGGCATTCACTTCTCCCCTCTAGCTATGAAAGTCCTGCATGGCACCTACTTCCAACAGAAAGCTATTTCATCTACATTGAAAACCTATTGGTTAGCATAGCCACCTTCCTCAGTGATGTCAGCTAGATCTGGAAAACTTGCTGCAGCTTCTCCATCAGCACCTGCACTTCACCTTGTACCATTATGTTAGGAGACAGCTTCTTTCCTTAAACCTCATGAACCAACCTCTGTTAGCTTCAAACTTTTCTTCTGCAGCTTCTTCACCTCTCTCAGCCTTCACAAAATTGAAGACGGTTGGAGCTCTCTTCAATTTGTTATTGCTCCAGCAATGCCAAACTGCTCTGGGTGAGACTCTGGCTTAAGGGAATATTGTGGCTGGTTTAATCTTCTATCCAGACCACTCAAACTTTCCTCATAACAGCAGTGGGGCTGTTTTGCTTTCCTATCCTTTGTGTATTCACTGGAGGAGCATTTTAGATTTCCTTTAAGAACTTTTCTTTTGCATAAACTGTGCTATTTGGTGCAAGAAGCCTAGTTTTCAGCCTATTTCAGTTTTTGACATGCCTTCCTCACTAAACTTAATCATGTCTAACTTTTGACTTAATGTCGAGGTGTGTGACTCTTCTTTTCACTTAAACACTTAGAGGATTACAAGGCCATTACAGAGTTATTAACTGGCCTAATTTCAATATTGTTGTGTCTCAGGGACTATGGAGGCCCGAGGAAAGGGAGAGAGATGGGGA
Organism: Homo sapiens; assembly: GCF_000001405.40. Taxonomy (NCBI): domain Eukaryota; kingdom Metazoa; phylum Chordata; class Mammalia; order Primates; family Hominidae; genus Homo; species Homo sapiens. Next base: position 236,866,417 of record NC_000001.11, on the reverse strand, counting down.
ATGGCTGGTTAGTGGAACAGTCAAAATATATATATTTATGGATTAAGTTTGCCATCTTCTATGGGTGTGGTTCATGGTACCCCAAAACAATTAAAATAGTAACACTGATCACTGATCACAGATCATCATAACAGATACAATAATAAGGTTTGAAATATTGTGAGAATTAGGAAAATGTGACACAGAGACGTGAAATGAGCACATGCTATTGGAAAAATGCCATCAAGACACATGTTCTATGCAGGATTGCCACAAAACTCAAATTTTTACAAAATGCTGTATCTGCAAAGCTCAATAAAGTGAGGTACAATAAAACAAGGTATGCCTGTGTCAATATTAGACATTATACTTGTTTACAACTCAAGTCAAAAAAAATATTGTAAAGTAAGGTGACATATTACGAAGTCCCAGCTTTTAGAACCAAAAGCCCTGAATGTGCTTGCCCATGACACTTGCTAGCCATGTGACTATGATGAAATCTCTCAAGTTCTCTAAGCCTAAGTTTTCTCATCTATAAAAGGAGAAATACAATAACAGGCAGGGTAGTAGGATCAAAACCATGAAAAGGAAGGATGAAAGAAAAGAAAGGAAAGGAACCAAAATGACAACAACAAAAAGGTGACAAAGAAAAAAAAATCAGTGATACTAAAGAACTGTATAAATTGGGAAGTGGTAAACAAATGGTAGGTAATACTAGATTCTTGGTGAATACATCCTTAGTTCTATTCAAATCCTCAAATTTGCAATTCTATTGCATCATATCTTCCCCATTTAAAAAATACATTTTCTCTCTAAACAGAACTGTCAGTTTTAGCCCTCTTTATTTCTTTTATCCCCACAAAGAAAAAACATTGTTATCATTTTTGAGATTCACTGCAACAATGATAAAAAGCCAGGAAAGAAAAGGATTAGATACAGGATAGGTTGCTAGACTCACTCACTAGGCTAGGTAATTCCTTCAAGCATACTAGCCTGGTACTGACAGTAAAAGTACACATTATTCCATAAGACAATCTCCAGGGACACTTGTCTACTAGCTGACACCATAAAATTAAACTCACCAATGGAAGAGTCTATGTGTTATCACACACAAGCCAAAGGAGTGTTTGACATGAAGTTTGCACATTCACTTGTTTTTGTAAAATGAAAGTAACGTTTCATCAGAAAGTGTTTCTCCAGTTAGACTTATTAGCAAAGATACGCAAACCCTCAGTGCCCAACACATAGCAACTGGGTTTGTTGCAGGAAAGCCTCAGGCTTAATACGCAGTCTTCACAACTGCTGACATTCAGTTCCAGTAGCACCCTGGAGAAATGCCACAATGTTCCCTGGCTTCTTAAAATGTCTTTACTGGAGAAATAAACATTGCTAGTATAATACTCTCAGCTAAGAATCCACTGATCAAAATAAATGATGATAAAGCACATGACAATGATACCTCAAGAATCACTTTTAGGAAGTTTACCTACAAGTCACTTTCTTCAATGGTTCTTGTCCCATTAAGGCTGAACATGTACCTGGCTATTTAGCCTGAGAAACAGTAAACTTTTTCAAGGAGAAAAGTCAACTAAATCATTTTGGTGTCTCTAGTATAATGCCTGGTAAGTAGAAGATGATCTATAAACATTAACTGAAGTGAATTTTAACTGACTGTGATGAATGCAAACAGGAACCAACAACCTCAGGTTTGCAAAGGTAAGCCTATAGCAGAAATGCTTTGTAGACTTTAGGAAGCGAACACCTTATCCAAATATTTATTATATAGGTAAAATTTCATTACAACTATCTATCTTCAATAAATTTATCTCTTTAAAAAATAGTAAGTACATGGATAGAAATAGTATTCCTCGTTTCTAGGACTAGGAGAGAACGCTAAGTCTTTAGACAGTAAGTGAGCAGGTAAATAGAAATGCTTGTGAAGACAGTCAGAGGGAAAAAAAAATGCCTTCCTGACACTGCTTCTCTGTCTCCAGCCTTCCTGAAAGGTTCTTAGCCGCATTTAATGAGCCTTGAAGGCAGAGATGGATAAAAATGTTGACAGCAGGGACACAGCTTAGCAGGTAATTGTTACTTGACAGCAAAGAAGAGAACTGAGGAGTACAGGGATAGCTCCAGTCAATTTTCTTCTCTATCTAGAGAAAATGGCACATTGGAAAGAAGTCTATGACTCAAAAGGACTGTTGGCTGGACATGGATATGGGAAAGCATTATTTCCATCAGGCTTTTCATTACAAAGAATATGTTCAAATCTAAGCGAAACACATACTTACTACAGGTCATCAGCTCTCACATGCAAATGATTTTGTTATGAATATTTATTAATTATAATAAGATAGAAAGGGGTTTTACTTGTATACAACATTCCAAAATCTAGCTTAATCACCAAGAACACAGGGTCCTGGCTCTAAGCAAAGCCAACTGAGACTTGTACAGAGAAGGCCTTCCTGTAAAACTGTTTAGCCAAGGTCTCATAAGATCTCGGTTCTAAAATCTAAGTTTATTGAAAGGAAAAAGAGGATATGATGAACACCACTGGCCATGGGAAGGAGCCTGATATTCCGGCTATTAGCACCTCTGTCCCAACATCCAACCCCAGGAATCCTCTGGACGGTTTCCACCCCACTTGAATAGCTTTTACTATTCTTTATGTCCTTTTTGAACACGGATAATTACTAACTTATTTCATTTGAAATGCTGTGTTCACGTAGAAAATTCAAAAACACAGCAAGCAAAAAGAAATAAAAAATAACCTCTAACATCCACTGCCATGCCCTACTCTTCCCACCCATTGAAGAATTATTCTGTTAAAAGGCTTTCATTTTTAAATGGAAAAGGGGTTGAAAGAGGTGAGGTCCTAACTTACCGGAAATTATTGCAGCCAAGGACTACTCCAACTATGTTCTTGCCTATGTCGTGCACGTCGCCTTTAACAGTGGCCAGCACGATGGTGCCCTGGTAAGGGTCCTGGAAAGGAAGCCAAGCAGCTCAGCAAGGCAGGGTTGTTTAGGGTGGAACACCTAGTTCTCCAGAGCCAGGCAGGGGCCAGCACAGAAAGCAATTCAATACAACCAAGAGCACCTCAAAGACAGACCTGGAAACCGAAGCCCAAACAGTTCAAAGGAGGCCCACCTAATGGGCTAGCCCAAGGGGCTTCAGCCAAGATCAGGAGGTCCCATCCTTTCAAAGAATAGTTGATGTTCACACACAAAACAGCACCACAGCTGAAGACCACATCCTTAACTCTGGGTGCGGGGGAACTTATTTGACAAATGTTTACGGTTAGCCATTAAGGGAGAGGCAGGGGAGAGGGGAAGGAACAGGTTAACTGTATGTGTATGTCCCATCTGAATCTGAAAAACCACAACAGCCCAGACAGAGGGCACGTGAGTATCTTTCCTCAGCACTGTTGTTCTATGCACAGTTAGCATCCCCCACTACTGCCCCAAAAAAAGAAAAAAAGCAAAACAAGAAGGATTTTTATAAACTCTGTGTTTGTCTGAGCCATTCACAAACAGATCAATTTAAAAATTCAGAATCCTAGGGGCCAAAGCTGTCTGAGCTTCACAGGGAGCTAAACAAGGTCAAAAAGCTTAATGATTTACTCTGGTGGTGCAGCCAACAAGAATTAAATTGAATCCAGAAGTGGTGCCAAGGACATCACCAGCAGAAAGACTATTCAGTTAAGAGTTTTCTAAAAACAAGCATGACTCAATGACCTCAAGGGCGGGGACAGACCTTTGAGTGAGCAGTGCCTGGCACAGTACTTGGCACATCACAGCAGCTTCGTAAATGATCAGGTAATGAAGGCACAAATGAATGAACTGGCTTTGTCTTGAAAACATGGGTTTTGATTGAAAAATTGTATCTATATTAAAAATGTTATAAAGCTACATTCAAAAGAAAGTCCCAGAGTATTCTGATACTCGGTTAAAAAAGGGAGAGATGTGGGATCATTTCTCTATTTTATCCTCAATAACGAACACAGCCAACCCTGACTGCTTAGGCCCCTACCACCACCTCAAGTCTTCCAGGTCAACCCACTAAAGGCCCATAGGCCTGAACAAAATGACTTGCCTCTTCTTCTACTGTGCCGTTAAGCACTCTGGTTTCTTCTCTTTCTTTTTCCATGAAAGGGATAAGGTGGCCAACAGCCTTCTTCATAACCCGGGCTGACTTTATAACCTGAGAAAAAAAGCATAGATCAGGTATCTTTCCCAAACCACAGGAACAACTGCTGATGGCCACTTGTGAAATTTGGGCACACATTAGGAATGCATGCTTTGACTTCAGGACAGCTACACTGGAGTCTTTTGACAGTAGGCAGAACAAAGGATAAGCTCCCCAGAGGGAAAGCCAGTGAATAATAAGGTACAGCAGAAGGAAAACAAGGCTGGAAATCAAATGTTGCAATTTCTGTCTTCTGAACTTTGGCTTGTTTTTTTTTCCTCTGTCTAGGAGGCCCTCTATCTTTTATCCAAGAGTTCTATGTATCCTTCAGGACCAAAGCTTCTCCACCATGAGCTCATTCCCAGCCTTCTCTTCTCAATCCCCAGCTTTAAAACTCACTTAAAATCCAGTCTTACATTAAGGCAAGATGAAGGCCTTTTAGTTTCTCAAATGCCGCACAGCCACTAACCTACATGCTCAACAAGTATGTGTTAACTGATGTGGTTAGCAGCTGCTGTAAATCAAAGTAAGAGTTCTGGTTTTACTTTAAACAAACCACTTAATGTACCGTCATTTAAAACAGTAACATTTGTCTCAAAATATGCATCCTTACAGATGAACAGTGCCTGGTCAAATCAAGTCTTAATGTTAGTAACTCTACATTTATCTTGGGTTTTACTTTACTTTTGGAGGGGAGAGATAGGCACTGGGGGTAAGAGGTGATACAAAAATTAGAACATAAGGATTATGATAGATTATGATGCTAAGAATTTTCGGATTTCCAACATCCACACCACTCTGAAGACGGATTCTTGCAGACATGACTCCTAAACATATTTAGAGAAGGAATGACTAGCCAATACCATTGAACTCTTGTCCAAATTAAAACCTGAGAAATATATCCCAAATCGCCATTTATTAAATGACAAAGAAAAGATGCAACTGTGAAAATTTCTCCCCATATTTTGCTAACCTGAGGTAGAAACATTTTTCCAGCTCCAAAAAGATCACCAACAATTTTCATTCCATTCATCAGGGGTCCTTCAATTATATTGAGAGGTCGGGGATATTTTTTTTGGTTTAACCTGGCTTCCTCAGTATCCTCAATAATATGTTTTTCAATGCCCTAAAAAAGACAAAAAAAAAAAAAAAAGAAAAAGAAAGAAAGAAAAAAAAAATCACCTAAAAAACTGCCTTACCTCCACAGAGCCATCATGAAAATGCCTAACAGCACAGGTTCCAGAAGCAGAGTGCATGGACTCAATCTGGCTTCCTATCACTAATTTAGGCAATTCAATAAGCCTCAGTTTCCTCAATTAGAATATTACAATAGTATCTCATATGTTTATTTTGAGGATTGAGATAAAGTGCTTAGCTGGCTTTATTGATACAAACAAAGTAAATACCTCATACACTTCCAAAACAGAATGTTGTATGCAGTAAATACATACAATTTTATATGCCAATTAAAAAATGCTTTAAAATATACCTCAGTAAAATGTGCTAACAGAGAAGGACTAATAAGTTCAAATGCATAAAATCCATTTTGTATCTTCGTGTTTTACCAGATTATACATTAATAAATGCCTGTGGAGAAATCAGTAAGTTTTCTCACTGTAATGCTGTAGGGCTGGGGAGAAATGACACTGGATGAGGCCCTTAAATGAAGTTCAAATCCATGAAGCCTCCATTGACTTATCCGCCCTTCAATGACAAGCCCCACTCCTCCAAGGTCCCCAGTTCAATGATCCTTGGATTGGCCAACTAGCTCCACAAACTGAAATATGTGAATCTCAAAAGGTGAAAGAGTTAAATGTTAAACTCCAGAGCCAAAAAAAAACAAAACAAAACAAAACTCTGAGATTCTCCAGACTCACACATGAGGAAACTGAAGCCAAGAGATTACTGATCTTGCTTAAAGCCTAAAATTCCAACTATGAAACTGACTTGCTGACCAACTGACCAGCAACTTGGTCCAGGACAGGATTCGCAGCCTCGGCGCTACTAACACTTGGGAAGGAATATTCTTTGTGGTTTGGGGCTGTCCTGGGCACTGCAGGATGTTTAGCAGCACCCCTGGCCATAGGATGCCAGTAATACCTCCCAGGCACAGTTACGACAATCAAAAATGTCTCTGAACACTGTCAAATGTGCTATGGTGGGGGGGGGGGGGGGGGGGGGCAGCTGGGGGACAGCAAGAGGGACCTCCCCAGGTTGAGAATCAGTGGTCTAGGCATCTCCTTCTCCAGCTACTGTCACACCGCCCACAACAGGATCAGTCAGCCATGATGAGCCTCCAGCCCTCCAGTTCAGGCCCCTGTAACTTACCTTCACAAGGGCATACTCAAGGCGTTCTTCGACAGGGCCATTTCTCCACTCATCAGTCTGAATGACTTTCTTCCCTCCTGTGCCTTGAGTCTGAATTGAAATTGAAACCAAGAAATGGATACAACTCATCACTAACCAAACTGTTTGATGGCAAAACAAACAAACAAACAAAAAAACCTGTGTCTTATTCTTCTTTTACTTTTCCAGCCCCTAGTAGACTGTCCAGCATAAAATAAGATCTCAATGAATGTTTGAGGGAAGGAGAGGGAAAAATGAGAAATCTTTTAGGGTTTGAACTGTTAGTGTAGAGACAGAGTAAAATTCCATTCTTTCCTTTCCCTCTTTTCTAAAAATAACAACTCAACACAAAATTTCCAGGACAGTAAGAGAAGCTATACTCCAAACCCAATGAGCCTTCAAAGCTCTCAACAAGGATCACCAGTACCCAAAAACAGATGCAGGGAGGCCATAATGAAGCTAAGTCAGACATCAAAGGTGGGCACACTAGGAGGTGTACGACACAGACTATGCTCTCAAGGACTCTGCCATTGTTATGGTTTGAAGGTGTCCTCCAAAAGTTGTGTTGGAAACCTAATCCCTCTGCCCCCATGAATGGATTAACGAATTTATGACGGCTGGATTAATGTTGCTACCATGGAAGCAGGTTTGCTATCTCTCTGGCTCTCTTGCTCTTGCCCTCTTGACATGAGATGCCCTCTGCCATGTTATGACACAGCAAGAAGGCCCTCACCAGGGGCCAAGGCCATACTCTTGGATTTTCCAGCTGCCAGAATTGTGAGCTAAATAAACTTCTTTATAAATTATCCAGTCTTTGGTATTCCGTTAGAGCCAAAGAAAACAGAGTAAGACAGCCATGTCATAAGAGAGGTAGAAAATATGTAAAGAAAGAAAGGGAGTATATGTCAAGGGCTGAATGAGTACATAATACAGACTAAGTACATAGGAATTTTGAGGAAGGAATGGTTATCGTAAGCTAAGGTGGCAAAGAAAAGTTTCAAAGAAGCTGAATGATGAGAAGGGGCAGATTCAGCAAAGGAACAAAAGCGCAATGATCATGGCACACCTGATAAATTGCATTACTTTATTGTTTTCTCCACCTCAACTGGAGGTACCAGCTGCCAAACCGGAAACCTAAGTATCACCTTTGAATCTCCATTCACTACTCAAATTCAATCAATCACCTCATCCTAATGATTACACCTCAAAACTTTTTCTCTCCACCCTGCTTCCATTTTCACAGCCCAAGAACTAAGTAGTCTCCACAGCCCAGAATCATTCTGGTCTCTGATTCATCTTCCACACTGTAGCCAAAAGGATGCTTCCAAAATGCAAATCTGATCCAACTGCTCCCTGTGAAAAAAATCTCTGTGTAAGTTTCCTATTGCTTTCACGACATGGTACTGATTCCTTACCATGCCATCCAATGCCCTGATGAGATGGTTTGGCTGTGACCCCACCCAAATCTCATCTTGAATTGTAGCTCCCACAATTCCCACACGTCGTGGGAGGGACCCAGTGGGAGGTAACTGAATCATGGAGACGGGTCTTTCCTGTGCTGTTCTTGTGATAGTGAGTAAGTCTCACAAGATCTAATGGTTTTATAAAGGGGTTTCCCTGCACAAGTTCCCTCTCTTATCTGCTGTCATGTAAGACGTGCTTTTCACCTTCCATTATGATTGTGAGACCTCCCCAGCCACGTGGAACCGTGAGTCCATTAAACCTCCTTTTCTTCATAAATTACCCAGTCTCGGGTATGTCTTTATCAGCAGCATGAGAATGGACTAGTACACCTGATCTGGCTTTCTCTTCTGCCATTCCCGACAAGCTTCAGCCATCCAGAACACTTCTGTTCCTTATGCTCCCCTCCCCATCAACTCTTTACCACCAGGCCTTCGCATTTGTTCATCTGACATACATTTATGCAGTACCTATGACCATGCCAGACTCTGGCTACATGCAAATATCTCTCCCCTGGCAGGGACCACCAGCACTGCACTCTACCCCCAAACCTTGGCCTGGCCACCTCCTTTATTTCTCTCAAGTCTCACCTGACCTATCACTTCCCCTGGGAAGCTTTCCCTGACCATCTCTAGTTTGGGGTCAGAATCTCCCTCAGGCTTCTCCTAGCGTCCTGCACTTCCCCTCTCACAGCACTTGCTGCGCTGGGTGACAATCACCTCTATACATTTCTGCATGTATCACTGAGCTGTAGGCTCTCAGAGGGTAGGGGTACATCTCTCTTACTAGTTAGATCCTCTAAGTTCAGTCAAATGAATGGCACAAAGCGACATTTTAGTAAATATTAGCTGGATGAATTAATGCTACACAAAGACTGATTTTGCTGGAGTAATGTTTGTCCAGGGTGGTAGAGGCCAAGACACAGAGGGCCAAAAACCCATGCGGTGGAGTTTAAATTTGACCTTCCAGGCAATTGCATGGGCAGAAGGGGGAGACATTATTCAAAGTTCTAAAGCTGCAGATTAACATTCAAAGTCACATTTTTAAGGGAATCACAAAATGGGGAGAATATTTTAATAGTCCTTGATGGAGGCCTGGACTCAGTAGTGGTAACAGGAGGAAAGGAAAGGACAAATATAAAGGTATTAATAGACAATAACTAAGAAGGAGAGGAGGGAGAAATGCAAATCAAAAGCACAATGAGATACCATATCACGCCAGTTAGAATGGCGATAAAAAGTCAGGAAACAACAGATGCTGGAGAGGATGTGGAGAAATAGGAATGCTTTTACACTGCTGATGGGAGTGTAAATTAGTTCTACCATTGTGGAAGGCAGTGCAGCGATTCCTCAAGGATCTAGAACCAGAAATACCATTTGACCCAGTAATCCCCATTACTGGGTATATACCCAAAGGATTATAAATCATTCTACTATAAAGATACATACACGTATGTTTATTGCGGCACTGTTCACAGTAGCAAAGACTTGAAACCAACCCAAATACCCATCAATGATAGACTGGATAAAGAAAATGTGGCACATATACACCATGGAATACTATGAAGCCATAAAAAAGGATGAGTTCATGTCCTTTGCAGGGACATGGATGAAGCTGGAAACCATCACACTCAACAAACTAACACAGGAACAGAAAACGAAACACTGCATGTTCTCACTCATAAGTGGGAGTTGAACAATGAGAACACATGGACACAGGGAGGGGAACATCACATACCAGGGCCTGTCGGGGGGTTGGGAAGCTAGGGAAGGGATAGCATTAGGAGAAATACCTAATATAGATGATGGGGTGATGGTGCAGCAAACCACCATAGCATGTGTATACCTGTGTAACAAACCTGCACATTCTGCATGTGTATCCCAGAACTTAAAGTATAAAAATAATAATAATAGAAGAAGAAAAAAAAAGAAAGAAGAAGAACAAGAAGAAAGAAGAAAGAAAAAAAGAAAGAAGAAAGAAGAAAGAAGAAGGAGAGGAGGAAGGAATTGGGGAGAACTCCAAGATTTAGGGCCAAAGTGGTAACTGGAATAATAATACAAGGACTCTCATATGTTGAAAAACCTGAACGAGATAGTAAAAAAAAAGAAAAAGTCCCTCTGATGTTCACAGTCCCATCACTTGATACCTGTAAATACCATTTGTTCTATTAGCCACACAATCAGACAACTCCTACCTGGGGGATGGAGTTTTGCTGTGTAAAAACAGGGCGGTGTGTTCCAAACACTCTTGAAAAAAGGAACTGGTGTGTTCACAGAAAAATACCACAATGTACCAGACTTATGGGGTGGGAAGGGAGCAAAAAATATATGATTATGGACAGAGGCAAAAGAGGCTACAAACAGCAGTAAAGAATTCACTGAAGTGTTGGAGGTTGTGATGTCTAAAAACTATCCCACCTGATAGCTATGTTCCAAACCTGATGAATTTGACTCATGAAAGCAATACTTAAAATGAAACAGTACAGTTAAAAGCAGTTATTTCAGAAATACACAATGGCATGCTGAGGCCCATCTCACTATTCATGTAGTTATTCAATAGGGAGTTCTCCATGATACACAAACAAGGTGCTACACAGTTTTCACATACTAAGGAAGACCAGACCCAGGCACACTGTGGAAGCTTACATAGAAAGCTACCAAGCAAACTGACCAAGCAATTGTCATGTCCATCTGGCTACTCCTTGTATCTGTACGTGTACAAAGCTAATGAGAAAAACTACTTCTTCCCACTCTAGAGTTGCTTCTGCCTCACAGGGGCCTCACGGTTGTGTAGGTTATCAAAGGGAGTAAACTGCTGCAGAGAAAGCCAAGGAAGAATGTGAGCTCAAATGGTGAAGGAAGGGATCAAGGCCAAATCAAAGAACAGAAAACTTTCCCAGAAAGTATCAAGAATATTCTCAAGCTCCCGGGTCATTCCACAGCCATCCTATCCAGAGCACCAATCCTTCCACTCCATAGGAGGCCTGGCCTCCATTAGGGTACCATTTAATAAAGATCCTCCATGTAAATTACATGGTATCTGGAAATTTTTATTATCAAAAATAATTTACTTACCACAGGTCAGTCTGAACTAAATTAGGAAAATTGTTTTTCAAAAAAATCCCATTCCTCCCCAAATGTGAGATTAGAGAGCCTTGGAAGATCAGAGGCTATACTCTTCCCACTAGTTTCAATAATATATCAGACAGGAATCTGGGTGCAGACTTCTTCATTTGCAATAACCGAAAGAGATCATTCTCTTATAAAAGATAAAAAATCCCTTGACTCTTATTTGCCTCATAATATTCCTGCTCTTCATGCTCCATTTCACTCAGCGCATCCTAAGGAATTGCTACAGAGCTGGCGACTCCCAAGAGTTATTAGAGGATACCTGTTTTGGTTATTAATTCCCTCAATGGCAACGGAAGTCACCTTGAAGGCAGACAGTCTCCCTGACAGAGAGGTCAGTGGCTTATAAGAAGCCCTCGTGGTTACATTAAGAATGAGGAAATTCTTCTATGATGAATTGTTAAACTCCTGCAATTGCTATGAAGATTTCCCTCACTTTGACAGTGCCTCCAGGGGCAAAACCTCTTGGCAGCTCAGCATGACATACAGAAATGAAAGCTAGTAAACAAACGCTAAAAGTGAGTACAGACCAAAAGAATGCCTAGCACAAAATACAATGCCAAAAAAACCTTAAATGGGAACGGTCTTACAAATAAGGAGCCCCTTTCCTAAGTGAGAGGGCTGCCTCCTCTGGATAGATCAGGGAAAAGATAAAAACACAGCATTTCATGTGTTAATTAAGAACTGTCTAGTATGACTTCATGGCAATAGAGGCTATGATGCCCCTTTGGCCTTCAACAGAACTCTTTGACAGTTATTAATGAAGGACCCCCTACTAGGTAGAAGATAGACCATGACTCAAAACTGAATAGTGTTTAACGCCCATGTCTCAATGTTCAAAGAAGACGACAGGGCTAAGCACTCTATGTGGTCAATAGGAAAAAAATTAAAAATCTATGGAATGTTTCTTAAGTAATGTGCTGAGAAGTAGAACTTGATTGTATCTGCCACAACCAAATGAAACATTCTGTCCTGGGTCCACATGAGAAACTGGAAATGTTTTTAAGGAACTGAGAGGAGGGTCGTGTGAGCGTTGGCACAGTGTCTGAACTCCTTTCAGCTTTGTTGAGCCTAAGGCTTCCATAAGCAATTTCAGAAATCTAAGTCTTACTACCAGTAAGGCTGATAAAACAAGGATGTGGTTAATCTCATAGTGTCCTATCCTTCTTCCAGAGCATTTTATTACTCTTCTGTGGAAGAGGCAAAGTTGGCAGTTCTATCAGAGCTAAATTCAGATTCTAACATGGAAAACATTAACAAAGTTGGCAAGAGACACAAAAGCATCCTACCACTTTCTCAACATGCTTTGTGGGAAAAATATCTTCCTTTGCCATCATTCTCTTAAACAGATTAAAATGCAAGTTCTTTTGAGGTAAAGATCTCAACTTTCCTTAAACTGAATTCTAAGAAGAACCATCTACGATAGATACTTCATGTGCCTAGGACTGCGCCCAACATATAAATGAGAAACAAGCTGGTGTTTGAATTAGCTATAATTATACTCATTTTTTACACATCAAATGTGCACAGACCTAAGCCTTGAACTGCAGAACTTTGCCACAGATGGACCAGATCCTAACATAAACAGGTATACAAACCAAAACATGGAACAGTGGGGACCATGTAACACTAACATAGCCACACAAGAAAATCCAGAACAGCTATTTTAAATAATGAGGTAGAAAAATATCAAGTAAAATGGAAATATGTTCCCAGTACACTGCTAAGAAAAAAATATTACCATAAAAGCATCTAGAGTATAGTTCTATTTTTGTAAAAAATGTATGTATATGTACCTATGCATGCATATTCATTTTGCAAAAAGAAATAAAAACTCCCATCACTTAAAGGTTATAACAAAATCTCAAGTGTTTAACTTTGGGTGGTAGGATTACAAGTGATTTTTATTTTCTTCCTTTGCTTACCAGAATTTTGTAAATTTTCTAGAACTAATATGTTACTTGGTACAAGAAAAATTAATTTTACATTTTACAATAAATTTAAAGAAACCTAAGTTCAGAATACGGAAGCACCCTAGGCATGGTCTGTTTACCCTTCCTTGCCCTAGCTACACCACCATCTCTGCAACTCTCTGTAGAAATCTTCAGTGATCCAAATATATGATTCGATATTTGCTTCTATTCCACCATGAAGGTCTACTAACTGTAGGTGAGTAATACATTCAAAGATAGGAAAAATCCATCTATTAGAACACTTGTCTCTCTACCTGGGCATAACGTAAGAGCTTCTCAGTGGCCTCAGGGTCTTTATTCCAGATGAGATCTTCACAGAGCTGCAGAAGTTCCTTATGGATATCATCATACACAGGGAGGTTTCCAGCATTCACTATCCCCATGTCCATGCCAGACTAAGGGCAATACAAATAAAAATGAGAATTTACAGTGATACCTTAAGTCAGCGATCAGCAAACTTTTCTCTGTAAAGGGCCAGAGAGAAATATTTTAGGCCATAGCCTCTGTCACAGCTACTCAACTTTGTAGTTACAGCATAAAAGCAGCCACAGACAAGATACAAATGAATAGGTGTGGCTCTATCCCAATAAAATCTTATTTACAGAAACTGGCAGCAGGCCGGACTTAGCCTGCATGCCACACTTTGAAAACCCCTGCCCCAACTAAAAACTGGTTTCCGCAGGGCTAAGAGTTCTTCTACCATACCTTGATTGCATGGTAAAGGAAAACCCCATGCATTGCTTCTCGAATGGCTTCCATTCCTCGGAAGGAGAAGGACAAGTTGGAAAGACCTCCACTTATTCTGGCTCCAGGTAATGTTTCCTGGCAAAAATTTTAAAATATGAAAAGATTCCCCTTTTTTGCCAAAAACAGCAATCACATCTCTTAAGCTTTATATAGGAGTGGAAAGAAAAAAAAACAAAAAGCATCCGAAGTTCAAAGTAATTCAGAGCTTCTTGTTACTAGACATAGACCAAAGCTTGCCGTATTACAGTATTACAAAGGCGCTGCTTCGTAAGTAGTTTTTCCTACTAGACTCCAATCTCCCTAAGGAGAACACGCGCGTACACACACACACACACACACGCAGAAAGACAAAGAGGAATTCCTTATTCACTGAAAGTACAAATTACTAGAAGGCTTCCATAGCCTAAATGAACAGACTCCCTAGTTCACTATGAACTTGACCGACTATAAAAGGACAAAAGGAAATTGAAGTTCCAACCATACCGATGACAGTATCAAGCATCATCAGGCTTGTGGAATAACAGGAACTTTCACTATTATTGGCTCAAGAATCTAGGGAGACAGTTTGTCATTATCTACTACTATGAGCCAACCACTTCTGGGTCTATGCTACAGAGAAGTTCAGGCATGCATGTCTAAGATACATATATAAGAATACTCAGAGCTGCATTGTTCATAATGTCCAAAAGCTGGAAAAAAACTAGATGTCCATCAACAATAGAACAGTTAATTGTGGTATAGTTATACCATAGAATATTATACATTAATAAAAATGAACAAACAGCTACAGCCACACAGATAAATCTTTAGTATGGAGTAAGAAAAAAACATAAAAATATTACGATTCTATTTTTATTAGGCTCAAAAGCAGGCAAAACCAAACTATATCATTCAGATATTCAGTCAATTCTTACTATTTTGTGGTAGTTATGTTCTTTAAAGTCACTGCAAACACTGAATTAGGGAATACCAGAGCATTGCTCCTAGGAGAAATACAGGGCTAGGTTCCTATGAGCCTCTGATGACATTTTTGTCAACCAATCAATACATAACCTTGTTTTGTGCATGTATGTTAAGATGCTGTATCTAATATTTACTGTTGATTCATTAAGACTGAATTCACAGCCAATGGCACTATAATTCATGTCTGAACAAAGCTTATCTAACACACATATTTCCTCCCTAAGGAACATCACAGCCTTCTTGTGCTTAGAACACTAGACAGCACTAGTATGGGGCCATTTTAAAAAGTGACCTCACCAACAAAACGCATAAAAGTGTGAAAAACATGGCATTAGACTGCAAAAAGGACATCTGTGTACAGGATGAGAGCTGAAATAAGAAGGTAGGTCACTGCCATGTTTGCCCTCTTTGGGAATAATATGGGTTGGGCCACTCAAATTTTCCACCACTCTGCATATGGGTAAGTCTGAACAACTGCAGAAGTGACGTTGAGTATTGATTTTGGGGTCACAAATAAATTTCAGTAAGTACATGAATTTGCAAATATAAAATCCATAGATGATGCAAATCAAATCTACATATATAAGCAATAAATTTATGAAGAAAAGCAACAGAGTAGCGTCATAAAACTCAGGACAATAGCTACTTTATAAAATTGAGAATGAGGTGTAACTGGAAAAGGAGAGACAGACGGGGGCGCTAGCTATGCTCTATTTTGGGACCTAAGTGAAGGCTCTTATATGCTTCATAATTAATTATTTATCAGGTTCTGTGGTTTTTTTGTTTTGCATCATTTTGTTCAAGGCAGGGCCTCACTCTGTCGCCCAGGCTAGAGCGCACTGGCGTGATCCCAGCTCAATGCAACCTCCACCCTCCTGGGTTCAAGCGAGTTCATCAGGCTCTGTTATGTTCTCCAGTCTGTTTGTTACACAAGTTAAAACTCTACTAAAGAAAAAAAATAAGGTCTCCTACATTTCAGAAAAACAATTTACTAACTAAGAATGTTAACATTTCATCAGCCAATAAATATATAAGTTAGTTCTAACCATTCATTAGACCCATGGGACAAATTTGAGCCATGACTTGGGAGAGAACATGCCTACACTTACTTTAATGACTTTTGTTGCATGGATAAAATTAATGGCATACAAGTTGTGTTCCTCCATTCCAGTCCCAATGGTTAGGATATTAGGGTCAAAAATAATGTCATTTGGATTAAAGCCCAGTTTTTTCACAAGCAGATGGTAGGCCCGGGTGCACACTCTGATTTTTGTGTCTGTTTCTGTTGCCTAGGGAAAAGAGCAAAAGATGTAGTTTGAAATAGAAAAATTATCTATTAAAATATTAATATTAAATACCTGTTATTTTATTTTAATAAAATATTAATATTAAAATATTAAGTGTTATACATTAGAGCACATTTCACTCACTGAAAACACTCAAGTGTCAATGCTTGGATTTCACAGAAATCTAAATGCCAAGCAGCTTCCGATCACTTATCAAATTATCTCAGAGGAGAGACTGGTTTAAAGATCTCTTTGTGTTTTCACAAACACAGCAGCTATACTCTTTCTGCAAAAAATCAAACCTTAAACATATACACACATATGGTATATTATGAAAAAGCTTCTAAAAATACATGCATATGATAAAAAATCAAATACTACTAAAGAAGAGATTAACATGTAAGTGCCCCTTCCTCTCTTGACCTGACAGCAGTGTCACAACCTATCACCCAGGAAACACTGCCATTGCTTTCTCAGATCTTCTTGCAAAAACATTCTAAGCATATTCAAGGATATGCATTTATTCCTCACCTTCACCCATTTTAACACTGGCCTAACATGTGTCTTAAGTCATAAATACAAATTAGTCTTTACCTTCAAAATAATGTCCCTAAAAGGCAAAACACTAACTCCGGCAAGGCTCATCCCCCAGCTGCTTCCCAAAAGCCTCAGAATCTCAGCCTCCATCTCCAATCTCATCTCCTACCATTTGCCCTCTCCTCTACTCCGCACCTCCTACATTGCTCCTTTGGTGTTTTTGAAACCCGTCAAGCTTGTTCCTCCCTCAGCAACTTTCATTTATTGCTGCCACTACCAGAACATACCATGACATGGCTTTGTGCTTCACAGAACTAAGGCTTCTGCCCAAGTGCCCCCTTTTCAGAGCCTACCTTAAATCACCCTCTCTAAACCAGCCACTTCCACCCTTCCCCACCTCCTCCATTCTTCTTCGGAGTATTTCTTTCCAGAAATTGTATTATTTTGGCAACATCTTTAGTATTTTTCGTTGTTTTATTACTTGTTAATTGGTAAACTCCTCTCCCCTAGATAGAATGCCAGTCTTGCTTTATCCCCAGTGCCCTGAGCAGTGCCTGTCAAAGTAGGTGCTCAACATTATGTATGAATGCTGCTTTTACTCAAAGTATTTCTGAACTTTGTCATGGAAACTGTCTTCAGATCAAATTTACAACCTCAACACAGGGTATTCACCAAATTACATCCTGAATTATTTCTGGTTGTATGAAAAATCAAATCTACTCTTAAAAAATGATTACTTGCTATCACTCCAGAGATAAGAAAAAATAAGTCACAATTCTGAAGGTCAATTCTCAATGAACGCGAAAAATGTTCTTGAAAAATGGCCAACCCTACTGCAATCTATATTGCAGACTTCTGTGGAGATGAGGGGGTAGGGACACGGACATAGGTCAAGTGCATCTAGTGAGGCCCTAGACAACAGAAATGAGGAGTAGGGGAATTATGAAAAGAACTCTCTCTTAGATCTAGCCTTTTGATCACTTACTACTTTGGTATTCTTTTTCAACTGTTTTCTTTGGTCTCTTTAATCGCTCTCTGCAGCTGGTGGGGTGAGACTTCACCTCTACTTGGGAGGGAAGTGCCTCCAGGACTTAGCAGACAAAATGGCCCAGGGAAAGGGAGACAGGAAGTGGTCTCTGTGGCCTCACTGCACCCAGGCTTTAGGGAAGGTGGCGAGCTTTCGTCTTCCTTAATGGAATTTTCTCAATGCTTACTTCCTCTGCCTTCAGTTAGAGTGAAAAGGTTAAGGTTGAGACTGAGATGTATGTCAGAAAAAACTGGTCAGAAACAGCCCATTTGCAGCTGCCTTTAGGCTTGAACTTTTAAAGTCTACCCTTCACCAGACAGCCCAATAGAGTTCTAGGCTCTAGGTTCATGGCTCATCTAAGCTCACTAAGAGAGAAGGCACAGGGGCGACCAATGCTACTAGTATTACTGAGTAACCTAGTCTGGTTGGTAGATGAAGAAGTCAAGGTCCTGGTCATTCCTCATCTGAGCCATGAATATTATCTGGCCAAGCAGGGCAGGTTGAAGTGAACAGTATGTTACCCACAGGAGAGTAGGGTGTAGGGCCCAGCTGTATACCAAAGACAGCCCTGCTTGTGGGACAAGCAGGTGCATCCTCACAGGACAGGAATTCATTTCTAGAACCAAAACAGAGTCATCAACTCTAACCTCCATAAGGATGAAGCCCTTGTCAAATTGTTCTCATGGCGTCTAGCACAGTATCTGTGCCACATTAACAGATACTCAACCTCTGTCACTTGATTAAACAATGACTCTCAGAGTGAACACGGCATTGGTGTACAGGCCTTTGTCAGGAGCAGGTCATATCTCATATCACGTAAGGTTCACCAAGCTTCTGTCTTACTCCTCACCAGGGCTGTGGGACAGACACACTAATAAAGCCTCAATCGTGCTGGTGGATTTCAGAGATCCAGAATAGAAGTTCAGTAAAACAACGGAATGGCAGCTTTACTCCATCAGGAAGGGCTTTCAACTCTGGTTGCACATTACAATACCCTGGAGGGATTTCTGTTTGCTTGTTTTTTATAATAGTAACACCTCACCCTGAACCAGTTAAATCAGAATCTGGAGATGGGGTCTCAGCAAGTGTTTTGTAAAAGCCCCTTAGTGATGCTAATATAAAGCCAGGTGAGAACCACCAACAGGTGAGATGTGGCACCTTCTTCAGTTGGAGTAGAAGAAAAACTCAGTGAGATTCTAAGCAGCAAGAAGGAAGGAATAAATGCCATTTATAGCTTTATCAAACAGGTTTACTCTTAAGCCATAGAGAAGCTAGACTGTGACCAGTGAGTAGAAGGCTTTACTTAAGAAGCTCATGGCTCAGATTCTGCTAAAATATCACACACTCAGGCAGTAATGCAATAAAACAATTTTTGATTTGGTCATCAAGGCAGACACTGTGAGGAAGAGAAGGACAATGTGTAGAAGACATCTAGATTCTTTAATGTAGTCTGACAAGGAGCAGAGATCGAACAGGGCTAACTTCAGAGGTGAGTTAAAGTTTTAAAATCGAACTGAAGTAGTTGAAGATGGGCGAGAGAACCCTGGAGGAAGCAGAGGCCCATCCTGGGGCTGTAATTAAAAAAAGAAGTGGCCCGGCCCAGTACAATGGCTCACATCTGTAATCCCAGCACTTTGGGAGGCTGAGGCAGGTGGATCACCTGAGGTCAGGAGTTCGAGAACAGCCTGGCCAACATGGTGAAAACCCATCTCTACTAAAAATACAAAAATTAGCCAGTTGTGGTGGCAAAGGCCTGTAGTCCCAGCTACTTGGGAGGCTGAGTCAGGAGAATTGCTTGAACCCGGGAAGCGGAGGTTGCAGTGAGCTGAGATCACGCCACCGCACTTCAGCCTGCACGACAGAGTGAGACTTGATCTCAAAAAAACAAAAACAAAAACAAAAACAAAAAAAACAGAAGTGATGGAAACGGATGTTTGTGCCTTTCAAGAGAGACACTGACAAGTAGGAAGGGAAACACTGAAGAAAAGGAAGTTTCCAAGGGAAAAAATCTAAAAATCAATACCAAAGGGAAAAAATTTACCAAAGAAAAAATAAGCCAATTACAATAAAAACAACAAACAAAACACACAGGAATGATCTAGAGATTGCCTATTTAGGGATAATTACAAAACTCCATTGAATGAGTAATTGAAAGACACGCCATGTTCCTCAATGACAAATCTAAACACTGGCAAGATACCAATTCCTTGTTATTTTCCAGGTTAGGATTAATTAGATATTAATCAAGATCCAATGGTTCTCCATAATTAGAAATTTATTTTCAAATCATTTTAAAACAAGAAAATGAAAAAAACAGGAAAATGTGTTGCATATATTGATTATTCTTTTATATAGTTTACACATGTGCAAACAAAAACTAATATAGACTATTCTGCTATTATGTGATAATTATATTTCTAAGACACTTCACGTTATCAAAAATTGTCATACAAAGTCATTTTTGTGAACCTAAGGATTATATGAAAAAAATTAAAAATCATTTCATTTAGAAAAAGAGAACTAAATCTAGAGTCAGTATACTTGTCCCATAGAAATTTCAATAATAAAGGTGTCCTGTATCTTGTTATGTAGAGTTAAGAATAACAGTTGGTCAAAACTATTAGCAACAACAAAAAACATAGAAATGTTTTCTTGTTGCCTTTCAATCCAGAAGTCTCAGGCCCAGCCTCCTGTCATATCTGGTCTTGACCTTGCAGTTGTGTTTGCAACATGGATCACAGACATTAACCAAACACTCAAACACAGCAGCCAGATATTGAAACAAAGCTGGTGTGCCTTGCTTAGTCGCAACAGTAGTTTCCCATTTGAGGGAGTTGTTTTTTTCCCCTATAATCAGTGGTGTCAATCCAAGCAAAGCAAATCCCGGTTCTTAACTGATTGCTACATCCAATAGCATTATGAGAACTCAATCAACAGAAAACATGCCTTTATATAAAAATACCTGTATTGCTGGCTTCTTAACTTTGAAAGTATACAGGATTTTTGCTTTGCTTTTTATAATTTTCAATATTTATGACAATTTGACAGTGAGCATACATGCTGCTCCATAATCTGCATAATATTTAAATACTCTGGAGAATAGTCCAGTAAAATTATGTTACCTATCTATTTCTCTTCAGTTGGGCACTTGGGCTGTTACATTTTCAATAATGTTGGTGTAAAATCTCGGCATATACAGTATCCTTATGCTGTTGAATTCTTTTGTTGGAATAATTTCCCAGAAATAAGATTATGAACTCAAGGGGTATAAACAATTTTTTGTCTCTTGACAGGCATTATATTCTCTTTCAATAGGACTGTACCAGTTTATACTACACTCTGCAACAAATGAGCCTTCAGTTTTATCACTGCTGTATCTACACAGACCTTGACCATTTTTTACTTTACTAATTTAGTAGGGATAAAACATTACCTTAATGCTGCTCTAATTTGTATATCTTTCATAACTAGCAAGTTAATTTTTTTTCCTACATTTGCTTTTAATTTGTGGTCACAGTTAAGTCTAAATTGGGAAAACCTATCCTTAGACAAGACCAAGCACTAAGCAGTGCCAATAAACAAAGCACAGAGTAAACACAGGATGTGGAAACATACACCAGTCTTCAAATGAGGAAGACCAAAGGTAAAAACTTGGTTCCACCATGTCCTAGATATGACACTGGTCCACTGTAAAATGCAATGGCCGCCACCTCGGTGGTCACTCTGAAGACTAAACGAAATAACCTCTGCTGGTGGTTTTCAACCAAAAGATACATGAGAATCACCTCCAAGGCTTTAAAATGTCTAAAGCCAGGCCTCATCCCAGACCAAATGAGTCAAAACTCAAGGGCTGAAGTCCAGGAGTGTGTACGATTTTTCAAAAGCTCCAGCAGTGACTGCCTTCCCTGTCAGAGTGAGTCTGCTTTGCACTCCTAGTTAAGCACCACAGATCCCTAAGGCACAACATTCCATTCTCACTCTGAGTTGACCTTGCTTCCAACTTCACTGAGAAAACAGAAGCAATTATAGACTCCCGCCAGCACATCAACCAGCATGCCTGCAGATCTGCACTCTTTACTCTGCCTTCTCTTTTGTACTTTGAGCAAACTGTCCAGCTACTGATCTAAAGCCACCCCTCCACTCACACAGTGACTGCCATCTCTCTCAACTCACAAGGTCATGGCTCTGGCAAATGTATCCTTTATCTCCTGCATCAGTTCCTCCCTCTCTCTCCCAGATCATTCTCATTAGCTTACAAAAACATGTTGTCACAGCATCTACACACACACACACACACACACACACACACACACACACACACACACACACGCCCTTTCTGAACCTCGTATTTCCCCCCTGGTTTCCACCCTATTTTTTTGCTCCCCTTATGGCAGAACTGTAAAAAGTTGCCTATACTGCTGCTTCTATTCTTCTCCTATTCTCTCTTGAACCCACTCCAATAAAGTTTTCATCTCCTTGGAAACAGTACAGCAAGATCACAAATGACCCCATTTCTAAATCCAACGGTAAACTCTTGGTCTCATCCCACTTGATCTATCTACAACTCTTTAAACAGCTGAACATGCCCTTTTCTTTGATGATTGTTCTTCACTTGGCTTCCAAGGGAACTCTCTCTTCTGACTCCCCTCCTACCATACAGGCTGCTCCTTCTCATATCCTTCTGATGGTGTTTCCTCTTCTCCCCAGTGCCCTAAGCACTGTGGCTCTAAGACTCACTTAGTCCTAGGACTTCTCTACAGTCATTCCTTTGGTGAGCTCAGCCAGTCTCACTATTTTAAATAGCATGTACAAATAATTCCCAAAAAAAGGAATCCTATCTTCAAGCCAGACTTTGCCCATGAAATCCACTCATTTGCACAACTGCACACTCGACATACCCACCACATACTAAGTCCAAACCCAAACTTCTCCTTACCCCATCCCAAACCTGCTTCTCAGTCTTTCTTACCTCAGTAGCTCCTTCCTTTCAATTGCCCAAGCCAACAGATTCTAAAGTTATCCCTGACTCCTCTTTCTTTCACAACCTATACCCAATGTGAATACAAATCCTATTGGCTCTATGTTAAAAATATATGTAGAAACAGATGACTTTTAACATCCTCTTTTGCTTTCACCATGGCCCTAACCATCACCATATCTCATCTGAATTACAGCAATAAACTCTAACATTTCTGCTTTGGCCCTAACAGACCATTCTCCACAAAGAACCAGAGAGGTTTAAACATAAGTCAGATCATATTCGCTCCTCTGTTCAAAAGTTTTCAGTGGTGTCCCCACTCACTCTGAGTAACAATGTTAACCAAAAGTGTTAGGAATGGCCTCCAAGGCCCTATGTGATTTGATCTGCCACCTTTCCAACCTTGTATCTTCCCAATCTCCTCCTCTCCCCTCTGCTCCAGCTACTCTGGCTTCCCTGTTGGTTTTCAAACAGGACAAGCATCTATCTACCTCAAGATTCCCTCTGCAAAGAACACTCTTCCCCTACATTTTCACATGGCTCACCTAGGCTTCTGCTAAAATGTCACATCATCCATGAGGCCTTCCCAAACTATCCTACATAAAATAACATTCCCCCACCTCCATGCTGAGGGGGGATCAAATCCTCTTTTCCCTTTACCGTATTCAACACCATTCAACGTGTGTATATACACACACACTTTTTTTTTTTTTTTTTTGGAGACAGAGTCTCACTCTGTCACTCAGGCTGGAGTGCAGTGGTGCAATCTCACCTCACTGCAACCTCAGTCTCCTGGGTTCAAGCAATTCTCATGCCTCAGCCTCCCCAGTAGCTAGGATTACAGGCATACATTACCACATCTGGCTAATTTTTGTATTTTTAGTAGAGACGGGGTTTCACCATGTTGGCCAGGCTACTCTCGAACTCCTGAACTCAGGTGATCTGCCTGCCTCAGCCTCCCAAAGTGTTGGGATTACAGGTGTGAGCCACTGCACCTGGCCAATTATATATATATATATACATCTTTTTTTTTTAAATTTGTTATTCCCTTTGTCCCTAAGAATATAAATCGTGCAAGGACAGGGACTAGGTTTTATTCTCCGTTGTCTCCTCAGAGATTAGAATAGGGATAGGGCCTGGCACATACTAAGTGCTCAGGATATATTTGAAGATATTTGCTTCATTAAAAAGTAACAGTTGCTATATATATTTTTAAAAGGAGCATTCAGATAACAAAAAAAGACCTTCAGGAAAAAGAAGAAATAAAACTCAATAGACGGTTTGGAGGATAAATGTAGATATGAAAATCTCACCCGATGCAGAGCAAAACACCAGAGTTGGAAAACAGGAAAGAAATATAAGAAAATTAGGCAACCTGTCCAAAACATTCAATATCTCAATAATATATGTACCAAAAAAGAAAAGAAAACAACTCAAGGACACTTCCTACCACTGCAGCTGTGAGTTTCACAAATGAAAGGCCTACTGAGTGCCAGCATAATGGATGGCTCATCATCGCGGGAGTTCAGAACACGGTGAACACAAAAGATTCCCAAAGCCTCCAGAGAATAGAAAAACAAGTTTCACAAAAATAATCAAGAGTTAGAATAGCACAGCCGGGCGCGGTGGCTCACGCCTGTAATCCCAGCACTTTGGGAAGCCGAGGCGGGCGGATCACGAGGTCAGGAGATCGAGACCATCCTGGCTGACACGGTGAAACCCCGTCTCTACTAAAAATACAAAAAATTAGCCGAGTAAGGTGGCGGGTGCCTGTAGTCCCAGCTACTCGGGAGGCTGAGGCAGGAGAATGGCGTGAACCCCGGGGGGCGGAGCCTGCAGTGAGCCAAGATCGCGCCACCGCACTCCAGCCTGGGCGACAGCGAGACTCCGTCTCAAAAAAAAAAAAAAAAAGAGTTAGAATAGCACTGGACTTCTTACTAATACCAGTGGGAATGAGAAGACAATGGAGCAGTACTTTCAAAACACAGAACAACTTCAAGTTTGTACTCCTATGCCCATGCAACTGCCAATTAAGTGTAAAAGTAGAATACGGCCATTTTCTGACACGTAAGGTTTCAAAAATATTTACTGCCATGTTTTCTTTCACAAGAAGCTATCAGAGAATGCACTCTACCAAATGACTAAAAAAAAAAAAAAGATTAACCAAGAATTTGGAAATTATGAGTTCTAAAAACCTAAGAGAAAGGCAATGGAACCCCAGGAGGAAGGTAAGGGACAGCTAGCAGTCACAGCTGTGCAGCTGGCCTACTTCCAGCTCATGTCAGAAGACTTGGAGGGAGAATTCTTCAAAAAAGTAGTATGACAGTCCTCTTAATGTGTCTGGCTACATTGGATACTTGAGATTTATACAACTAGGGGACAATCTGAAGGCGAAATACATAGAAAACAATGCAAACAAAAAGATAAATATTACCTTCATAGAAAACAAATAAAGAGTGAGAAAGGATAAGCAATCACAGTATACTACTGCATGGCTCAGCTTTTACACTGTTTAATAATGTAAGCACTGAAAACGATTATAGCTAAAATGAACTATATTGGGAAGGATAAAAGTAAAGCTGTACAGAGTCAGGGCAGTGGATGGTGAAAAGCTAAAAAATCTTTAATCACTGTAGGAAGTCAATAAATAAAAACTAAAACTGGAATTTGAAGATAAAGAGGTAGATGCTACAAGAATCAGCTTAAAAAGCTGAACGTGGGTGCCTCAGGATCTAGAAGGCTGAAGGCTTTTTTCTTTTTGTTTACGGAACTATTTGTCTAACTATTTGCAGAAAATACAATTATCAAAAGGTCCCACACCACACTAAACTTGTAGTGGATGATAACAACTTTTCAGATGGACAATTTTAACAACGTGCCTCAAAATAGTAAATGTGTACACTCTTTGACATAGCAATCCCACTCCAATGAACTGACTCTAAAAAAATCATTCTAGAAGGGGAAATCGCTGCATGAATTAGGATATTCATTGGCCACTGAACTGTTCATGCTACTAAAAAATTAGAAACACAATTTCATTCAATAATAGTAAGTAAAACATACTGGAATGCAATGCAACCAGAAAACATGGAGTTTTAATCCACTAATATGGGAAAATGCCAACATTATGTTGAGCAGGGGAAAAGAGTTACAGAATACCAGGTATAATCTCGTTTATACAAAACTTTTCATTTGCTGAAACCTCGTTTGCTCTTTCTCCACGTGGCCATGTGGCTTCCTCTCTCATTTTATTCTGGTTTTCAAATGTTGCCTCCTCAGAGGGGTCTTATAAGACCACCTGTTCTGAACAGGCCAACTCTTCCCTGACAGCCTCTTCACTCGACCATTTAGCACAGGCCCTGATGAATGAAACCAGATCTCCTAGGCCTGAATCCCAGCACTGCAAACTGTTAGCTGTGTGACAACCGCCAAGTCCTGGGACATCTCTGTGCTTTAGTTTCCTCACAAGACATTCAAAAATAACAAGAATACATACCCACAGTTTATATGCTTGGAAGAAGAACTGATTTAATGTGTGTTGTGTACTTGCTTGGTGTGAATTAAGGTTCAATATATGTTAATGATCAAAACTATCTCTCTTTTGCAGTCTTCTGGATGATTTGAATTTTTTCACAATGAAGAAAATGTATCTTTCATACAAAAAATGCATTTAAAAACAATTTCATTCCAAAAATACAAAACAAAGACAGAAAGAAAAAGTACATACAATCCTACTACTTGTTCATTGTCAGTATGTCCCCATTTGAGACCACCCCCATCTCAGATCATCCCTACCCCACCCAGTTGACAACCATCAAATTCTTTTCTCTGCTTATGCAGACAAACATATGTAAATGTAAGTACTTTTATATTAAGTTGGGATCATGTCACTCATTTTTTTCATTTTTCAATATACTGAAGACATGGTTCCATCTCCTGATTCTTTTTAACTGCTGCACAGTATTCTATGTAGTAAGGACCAAGTTTAAGCATTGCCCTAGTAATGGACATTTAGTGTTCTCAGCTTTTTGCTACCACAATGCTACAATAAATGTGAACACATATCCTTATACACTCAACCTTATTACTAGATTCCCAGGAAGGGCTTAATCATAAGAAATAGATTTTTTAGTGGTTTTAAATAGGTACCAAAATATTCATACAAAGTTATGTGAAGTATAAAACATGACAATAATCAGTGTATCACAGAGATGAACGATCATTATATTTGAAGCTTCCCATGTGCCCCACCCTGATTCTATGGCAGAGCTATTATGAAGACTGCCATTTATCAATCTTCTAATTTTTTCTTCTATTTGATAAAGGAAACTAATCTCATTATTTCTTTACTTTTTATTTCTTTAATGTTTACAAAACTTAGTATCTTCTCATAAGTTTATTGGCTATTTGTTCTTTTTATATAAATTGTTATTTCCTTTGTCCATTTTCCTACTGGGTTGACTGGGGTGTTTTGCTTTCTGACTTATATAAACTCTTTGCGTATTAGGAATATTCACCCACTGCTATTATTCATGTTGCAAATAGCTAACTTTATTTTAGTATATGGTTGGAAATGGGAATCTAAGTTTATTTTCTTCCAAATGCACAGCCAGTCATCCCAACAGCATTTATTGAATACTTCAACCTTTCTCCATGAATGCAAAGACTTTACTATATATCAGATTTTCATATACAGTCATTGACCACATAAGGACACTTAAGTCAATGATGGATCATATAAACAACAATGGTTCCGTAAGGTTATAATACCATATTTTTACTGTAAATTTTCTGTTTCGATACGTTTAGATACACAAATACATATCATTGTGTTATAGTTGCCTATAGTATTCAGTACGGTAACATGCTATATTAGCTTATAACATAGAAACAACACACTATATATACCATCTAGCCTATGTGTGTAGTAGGCTATCCCATCTAGGTTGGTGTAAATACACTCTATGACGTTGGCACAATGACAAAATCACCTAATGATGTATTTCTCAGACCATATCTCCATTGTTAAGTAACACATCATGTATGACTGTATACAGATACGTGTACATATATGTACATGAATGTATATGGAAAGAGATAAATGTATATGTGTATGTATATATGTAGCTGTTTCAGACTTGCATTTTCTCCCACCACTATCTAACCTGGGAAACACAATGGATTAGGCCAAAAGAAACCACTCACCTGTCCTTCTTCATCAAAAGCCATGACCACCATAGCAGCTCCATACTTTTTAATCTTCCTGGCCTTCTCCAAGAAGTCGTCCTCTCCTTCCTTCAGACTAATGCTATTGACAATGCACTTCCCTTGGCAGCACTTTAACCCAGCTTCAATCACAGCAAAATTGGAGGAGTCGATGCACAAAGGTACCTGAGATCAGAAAGGCAAGAAAATCACACAGAGGCCACAGGTCACTATAAATTACTTTTCAAAGGCTCCAAAGTATTCCCTATTTCTTCTTTAGCAAAACAATAAACAAAAAATAGTAGTATGTCAGAGATAGAATTTTAATATACTTGTTCTTTAAGCCCAAAATACTTGGAGTAATTTCAGTCTTACAAGATACTCCATGCATGGGCCAGGGATTTACAACTCAAAGATCACAGCTGAACATCAGAATGAAATCAGTGTGATCAGTTCACTGGCTTCAGTGCAGTACACTTTCAAGCGCCTAAGCCCCGAGGCAAACACCTCAGCTAGGATTCAGACATCCCTGATCTGACTCAGGGATTAAGGTTTAGCCTTGTGTCCTTTGGGGACAGCCCTCTAGCCAAGTTATTCAAATTCAACCTTCCCTTTAGAAAATCAAGTTCTTTACTGAAAAAAAACAAAAAAAGAGTTTTAATATTAGAAAGGAAAAGCAGATCTAATTATCAACAAATGCATATAACTAAAATAAAGGACAAAACTGAAATGCACAGTTGAGAATAGGTTCCTTTTAATTCATACCTCTGTTCCAGGAAAGATGAAAGGAAGGGCTTGAAGAATTAGATTGATACAAAGAAATGAAATGAGGCAACAGATCTAGGCTGCATTATTTTTATATTTTTAAAGACAGGGTCTAACTATGTTGCCTTGGCTGGTCTTGAACTCCTGAGCTCCAGGGACCCTCCACACTCAGCCTCCTGAGTAGCTGCAACTACAGGTGCATACCACAGCTCCCAGCATAGGCCACATTATTCAATTAAGCCATTCAATAAATAATTAAGTGACTACCATATTAGGCCCATACAGGGAAAACAGTAAGAAAGCCAGGTCTCTGGCTCCACTGAGTTTATAAAGATAAATAATTAAACAAGTAATGACATAAAGTGTAGTAAATGCTAAAAGCATAAGAGAAGCACAGACTGCCATGGAAGCATATTTCAGGGGCACCCAGTCTATGAAGCATGGAGAATGGGGCAGGAAAATCCAGGGAAAGCTTCCCAGGGCAGGAAACATTTCAACTGAGGACTGAAGAATGAGTAGTCAGCAATTTCCTAAGCCACGCCACCAAACGAGCAAAAAAGAAAAGGCACGCTACCAGTTTTGCTTTTTCTTAGTATGCTAGTAATGAGAGGTTTGCTAAGGAAAGGGTCAAATGCAATGACAACACCAGGCCAGTGTATCGGCTTGTATTTGCTTGCTGATAGTTTGGTGTCCCAACCCTACTGGTGAAAAGGTGCTGGTAAAATGATTTTATGCTTTACCACCTGGGTAGAAATTTGGCCTCCAATAAGTTGTGGTAGTAGGGCAAAACCAAGAAAGATAAGAAATTACTGTAGCAATCAGAACACTAATAATGTATTGAGTTACATGGGGTCCTTCACAGTTGATAAAGCACTTGCATCTTTACAATTCACAAAGGGGGTTTGATGATCCCATTTTAGAGATGAGGAAAGTAGGGTCAATAGTCCATTGACTTGATTGGGCCTTACAAGGCGAGTCTACCCTCTTCCCAATACTAAGCTGATAAACAATTGGCTATACCTCTGATTCTAACTAACTTTGAACAAGTTGTCTTGCTTCTTTGTACCTTAAATTCTCAAAATATTTACTCCCAGAGGAATGACAAGACTTTTTAGTAAAGAGTTTTAAGACACAAATGAAAGATGGACAAATGTAATTCAGTACCTACCATAGACTCTAACTTAAATCTGCTGAATCTGCTGAAGCCTAATAAAAAAACCAAGAGCTCAACCTGAAAAATGCAACTCTTAGAGCACTAGGAAGTTTCTTTAAAAAAGAAGAACTTCAAAAATCACTTCCTGCCAGGCACAATGGCTCACAACTGCAATCCTACCACTTTGGGAAGCCAAGGCAGGAGGATTGATTGAGACTAGGAGTTCAAAATCAGCCTGTGAACACAGCAAGACCCGACCTCTCTACTAAAAATTTTTTTTAAATGATGCGTGCCTGTGGTCCCAGCTACTCAGGAAGCCGAAGTGGGAGAAGCCTGAGGTTGCAGTGAGCTATGATTGCACCACTGCACTCCAGCCTGGGCCACAGAGCAAAACCCTGCCTCAGGAGGGGAAAAAAAAAAATCACTTCTCATAACAAACTTAACGGCAGAAAAACAAGGTAAGATTTTTTTTTTAATTTTAGAACTCATTTAAAAATGTTTAAAAGACTGACACGAAAATCAATTTTCACCTTTTGAAGAACAAATGTAAAAGCTGACATAATCTCTTGATTTAATCTTGTTTTATATTTTTGTCTTAATCTGATAAGCCTAAAAGTTCTCTCCTTCCTGTTATAAGAAAGAATTCACTGAGTTCCCTTGCCTATGGTAGAAATAGAGCCAATGATTTTCCTTCACATACATGGAAAGTGGGTTGTTAGTCTGTCCAGACATCTGAGGAGACTCAATTCTCATGAACAATCCCAGAAGCCTTGGAAACAGCCAGGCTGAAGCCACAGCTGTCTCCAAGATCTGCTTTATCTGGAAAGGTTATCAGTATCTGAGAAAGCTGACAATCAGAAACTACCCTGTTTTCGATGTTGAGAAACAGAAAACCAGTTCTTGAGTTCACAGATTAATGGGACAACTGGCACGGTTAAATGAGTGTCAAAGTGAGACAAGTAAATCCCCCTGATAAACATAAACTTTGTATAACCTTTGCGATGTCTGGCTCGGAAGCAATTAAGTTGCAAAATCTGGTCATTGCACTTGGACCATCTAGCATGCCATCATCCATGTTGACATCCAACACCTGGGCTCCCATTTCCACCTGCACTTTGGCAACACACAAGGCTTCCTGAAGGAAGAATGAGAGAGGAAGCAGCATTAGGAGACAGTTACTAGGAGAAAAGGCTAATGAGGTAATTCCTTACCCTTCCCAGCAATCCTTCAAATTACACAGACTACCTCGCCAGACTCCCTGACTCCGGGCCTGCTGTCCACCCATCACTCATCACAAATTAACCTTTCTTACACATCTCTTCCATCACATCATCTCACTGCTTAGAATCCACCAAAGCTGTTTTCCTACCATAAAGATTCTAAATCCCTCAGCATGGCAGTCAAGGCCCTCTGAGCTGGCCCCATCTTCTTACCCAGCTGAACTTCCCATTCCACCCCGACTGGAGCCTTCACCCAGCCAAATCTGTTCCCACCTCTGTGCTGCAGATCACGTTGTTCCCTCTGCTTGGAACGCAATCCCTTTCCCTTCCACATTGTTTAAGACCCAGCTCAAGCCCCATCTCCTCCAAAAAAAGTCCTTA
This sequence comes from Homo sapiens, assembly GCF_000001405.40. Taxonomy (NCBI): domain Eukaryota; kingdom Metazoa; phylum Chordata; class Mammalia; order Primates; family Hominidae; genus Homo; species Homo sapiens. The sequence goes on along the minus strand of NC_000001.11, from coordinate 236,835,080 downwards.
GAGAAACCATCCAAAATGATATAACTCTTCAGTATTTGCCAAAAACTATATAACTCTTCAGTATCTGCCGAAAGTATTCATTGCAGGCTGTTAATAGAAGTTACATGAAAAGAAATGTGACTTAAATAAATTTCAGCAGGTTTTTATAACACTGGAAGGCTTTTCAAATTATTTAATGCACTATTACACACTGCAACCTTCCCAAAACAGAATACAGCATTTCCCACTTATGATCGTCTAAGGAATATTTTGTAGGATAAGTGTTCCAAAAAGTCTTATATACTTCTCATTCTGAACAATGCTGGGCAAAATATACATGTTCCATAATACCTTCTAAGTAACAAGGCAGAGACTTTTTGTTTATTTAAGTTTTCACTGTACACTTCATAGTGTAATGAAATAAGCAAGGATAAAATCAATAGTAGATGCTGATATTGTCTTGATTTTTTTTTAGCCCAAGGAAAAAAAAAATAGAAACTTTTAGCACTCATTGTGATAGAACAGGCATGAAACCCTATGGCATATGCTACAAGGAAACACCACATGTAGTGAGCCAAGGCCACATAGAGAAAAAGGATCACACTTAAATTCAGTAAATCTGGACCGGGTGTGGTGGCTCATGCCTGTAATCCCAGCACTTTGGGAGGCCGAGACAGGCAGATCACTTGAGGTCAAGAGTTCAAGACCAGCCTGGCCAACATGGCAAAACTCCATCTCTACTAAAAATACAAAAATTAGCTGGGCCTGGTGGCATGAGCCCGTAGTCCCAGCTTCTCTGGAGGCTGGGGCAGGAGAATCACTTGAACCTGGGAGATGGAGGTTGCAGTGAGCCAAGATCATGCCATCGCACTCCAGCCTGGGTGACAGAGCAAGACTCTATCTCAAAATAAATAAATCAATTAATTAAGTCAGTAAATCAAAAAATGTTTTCTAGTATCAATACTAATTTAAATAATATAAAGAATAAAAAGAAGTGTAAATCACAATCCTGGTTCTTGAAGGGTTTATATCTAGATGGAGGCACATGTCACAGTCATGTAAAAAACTACTGGGCACTGCCATACAATGTGTGGGTCAAATGCCAAGATGACCTCAACATCCAGGAAAGGGAAAGGTCTCTACAAACCAAAATGGAGAAAGCTAACTGAGAGGGAGCATCTTCAGCTGACTAATGGGGAATGGATGGAGCAAACAGACAGGAGATAAGATAGTAAGCAACAGGGTCAAAAGACCTCAAAAACGGAAATGCCAATATCTGACCTATTTCTTAAGAATCACGGAATAACAGCTTCAAAGTCTAACCTTCCCAAACAAGCTCAGAGAGATGAAGTGGTTTGTTTAAAGATGTATGAGTTGGGCAAGAACATAGGACTGGAACTTCTTTCAGGTCAATGTTCTTTCCACTAAACCACAAAGGGATCATTAAGTCATAAGAGCTAGACTCTAATGAAGAGTCACCTGTCCCTTCCTGTTTCTACTGCCCCCTCCTACTGTTTCCACTAGGCAGAGATAGCAGAGTGGTTAAGGGCACATGCTTGGGAGACTTGGGTTCTATCATTTACTTGCTGTACAACAATAGGCAAGTCATTTAACCTCCCCAAGCCTCCATCTCTACACCTGTAAAATGGGGATAACCACAGTACCTATCTCCACCAGGCTGTGATGATTAAATGAGTAATGACATAAAGTGCTTAGCACAGTGACTGGCATATAGAAAGACCTTATTAAATGATAGATATTATTACTTCCACCTGTTTGCTTCTTCCTAAAATGCTCTCAGTGTCAAATCTATCAAATCCACCAAAGGGACACCATAGAATAGGCATAAGAAGCAAAACATAATAGAAACACTGCCAACTGAAGAACACTATATGGCTAGGAAGAGTCACTGGCACTTCAGAAGGAAGCAAACAAGAACAAAGGCACAGAGTCAGAAGCGAGCCTCCTGGAATGTTCAGATGACAGATCAGGATGGGAGGGCAGTTTAATACCTAAGTGAAGAGGACGGAATGACAGACTAAGGAATTTCAGTTTTATCCCATACACAAAAAAAAGTCACCCTGTGGAATTTCCAAACTGGGAAGGCCCATGATGGATGCATACAGGAGCACTGGACAGCAGCAAGAATGAGGGGAAGAGGACCAACAGAGGAAGTGGTGAAACTGGGCAACCAGGCCCTGCTAATGTGTCAGCTGAGGGACTGGGAAGGAAGACACGCCTCCAGGGATGCCATCAGGTAATAATGAACAGGTCCATGAAGGGGAATAAATGGTCCTTTCCTTGTTATGAAAACTAAATCAGCTCTGGTACTGGTTTCTGGAAGATCTCCTAAAGGTTGCAAAAAAGTGAGGAAAGTTGGATGATAAAGTTAATTATCATTAAGGCCCAGGCAAAATTCCTCCATTTTTAAATTCATATTTTCATAGGAAAATCTATCCAGGAGTCTTAGGTATGCTCTGTATGTATTAAATTTTGCTCATCCACAGAGTGACTGAGCTTAAAAACACCATGGCTAAAACTATCACATAAACTTTCCAAGGCAAGGGCCTATTTCTTTTGTTTGTTTATTTTAGTCTACAGCTAACAAGATCCATAATACCCTCAACAGTCAGCGTTTGATGCGATCATAAGGAACTGACAGGAATTTTCTTGTCTTTCCCTTTCCCTAGAAGGATTTGTGAGAAGACAAAATAAAAAGCCTCTCAAATTTTTTAACTTATTTCATGATTAATAGAAATAGCTAGAACCTGGATCCCTCCCATCTCATCCTACTTCATACACCAAATGCAGTACTTTTTAACAAATATTGACAACAGCAGCTTCAATTTTTCAAAGCCTCGTCCTCCCACCAGCCCAGTCTGCTGCAAACACACATTACCATCTTCTCACACTTTCTAGCAGCTCTGCTAATAACACTATCAAAGGCAGAGAGCTGTTTCATTTACATGCTGTCTAGCCAAAGACATGGGCAGATGCCTCAGGGGTCTTATTAAGATGCTCACTTCATAGTTTCCTGCCATGATGAGTTTAGCAAACTTCCTTGATCCTGCAACATTACAGCGCTCTCCAATGTTAACAAAGTTGGTGTACGGTCCAATCCTGAAGGGCTCTAGACCTTAAAAGGAGAAGCATTTTGAAAAATTTCTGCAAATGCATATGGATGACATGAGACAGACAGACACAAATGTATTCAATAAGAAAGAGAAGTTCCTGCACCATAGCCCATCTGAGCAGATAGGAGATCCAATGTGGAAACAGGGCCATAGTCGTCTCTAGGGAGATTCAAATGCAGTAAAGGCTATTTGTTACAACTACATTTACAACCATAACTCTCAAAAGAAGAAATATTTCAGAGTTTTATGTTGCAAATAACCTAAAGGACCAAATCATACCATCTCTGAGAAAAAAGGAAAAATAATCATCAACCCCTATTTAACCAAGAGGCTGAGGCAAAAACCATGGACAAAGTTAGAATTGAAAGAGGGGTGCTCCACAGCTGTCTGCTCAGATGTTAGCTTAAAGCTATATGGAGTAAGCTTTTTTAATCCCACCAATGGTGTGTTTACAACATTACTTCATTTCTTTGATTCAGAGGCCTAGAACCCATAATCAACAAGGCTGAATCAGGGATCCAGGTTGAGACCTGAGAGACAGGAGTCACTGTGGCAGGTCTATCACTAATGAGCTGACTCTAGGTAAGCCAGGTGGACTTCTGGTGCCTGTTTCCTTATCCACCAACATAATAACATCTCCCCTGCCACTGGCCAATTTAGGGGCAAATATCAGATAATACATGTGGATATATCACACTGAAGTAAAAACATACAGTGTAAAGTATCACTACAGAAAAGGCTCTGAACTGTTTTTGTTCTATTCATTACATTTAAAGTATTAGGAGAGGCAGTCTCATTAGATGGTTATAGGCAGGTTCTGGGTACAGACGGCCTTGGGTTCAAATCACTTACCTGAATGAACAACCTTGGGGCAACTTCCCATATGCCTCTGAGTTTACAAAGACAGTAAAGTGTCTGCTTTATACTGTTATTGTAAAAATGAAACTGAATAACATTGACAGGCACAGAATTAGCACCCATAATCACTGCTTTCATTGTTAATAAAAGAAAATGGCTTTTGAGACCTTTGCCAAAGCATGAGCTGAGGAAGAAACAGATATGAGGCAGAGAAAAATAATGACTATAAACTGGGTCATGACAAAAGCATTCCAGGCCCCTTGGTGCACTGATAGAGATTATCGCTTTCCATGCACGGTACTGGCTTATGATTTCTCTTCCATCTGGCAATGATCCTCATGGCCCCAGCCTTCCAAGCTAGTCGCAGGGTACGCCCGATCCTAGTCTGACCCTGAGGTTCCCAGGACAGGCAAGCAGGGAGCCAACATTTCAATGCTGACATTTCTGTGTGACTCCTCCGCCAAAAGCATCTCACACAAAGTACTTATGATCTATTATGAATGTGAAGTACTTGATACAAAGATCACACTTCTCTCAAGTTTGTGATTTATAAAAGAACAATTTTAAACAGCACATTTGATGTCACTCTTTTAAAATCTGATGGAAGGTGATTGTTTAAAGCAATTTAGCAATAGCGTACGACATTCAAATTGAAGAAAAAATTCTTTTATTCTTACATATAAATTATTTTTTTTAATCTTATGTAAATGGCTCTCTTGTTTCAATTTTGGCAAAGGCTGAATGTTTTCCACTCTTAGTGCTTGGCTGAAGTAATGCACTAAGTTTCAGGGATGAAATAAATAAATTTTCCTGCCACACCTCTCTCTGATAAAAGCCACTATTTCCAGAGAGGGAGTATCATAAACCATGAATCCCACTTTTCCTAATCTCATCCTCTACCTTCTGGAGTATTAAAAAAAAAAATAAAGGGCTAGCCTGAATATAGTTCGTATGTGTTAACCCAACTTCACACTCACTGATTGGGATTAATTCTGTGCTATGTTCTGAGTGAGAAAAGTGGACACTACTTTTGCTGTCATTCGTAATTTATTTTACTTTTCATAGGACAATATACAAAACAAAAATATTTCAATTCAGAGAGATGTTAAATTCTAAGCTATTAGGGAACATAATTCCTCATATGTGTTATTTGCAGGTTCTCTAAAAATCATACTTTTTCTGCTTAAAGTTACCATTTAATACATCATGAACATACTGAAGCAAAAATATGAAATTTAAAGTTATTTTTCTAACAATTGGCCTGATGACCTAGTTTACTAACGGTCCTTGTTTCAACACAAAATTCATGCTGAAAAAGGGAGGCTACCCACCTCAAAGGATTGTTGAGAACCAAAGAGAAAATACATACCACAAGTCTTTGTAAAGTCCTAAACATGTGGCAAATGTAAGATTACAACAAGAATATTTTAGAAACAATTTTCTAGGAAGATGCTGCTGCCATCACCAAACATTACACCTTGGCAGTTTGGAATTTTCAGTAACTAGTATCAACCTGAAAATTAAAATTGTTAGGCTGTGGCCAAGAGTATGTTTTCAAAACAGTGGACAATAAAGATAGGACCATCGAGCTCCCACCAAGGACTCTACCTGGGCAAATCACCTGGGCCTTCCTTCACTTTTACCCTAAAGTTGACGTCATCTTGCCCCAGCCCTGGAAAAACAAAGGGTTCTTCACTAGAATTCATTTAAGCGCCAAGAATATATGGATTCTTCTTCGACCTAATAAGCAAGCTGCCTAGCACAAACATCACTACCACTTAGAATACTCACACTCCACAAATGGTTTCTGCAATCAGGAATACCAGGTCTTTATGACTCACCAGACAGTAACATATGTCCTTCAAAAGCAGTGGCAGGTGGAACTCTAGGCTTACAATTTTTCACAGCTTCAGCAATTTCCCTGAGTTGAAAGAGGAAACATTGTATCCATTAATTCAGAATAAAATATATTTAATGAAACTAATTTCAAAACTAATTTTAACTATAAAATTAAGTCTATTTAACATAACTATACATATAATTATATACCTACTTCCAAGTGTGCAGCAACAATCATGCCTTTTAGTTTTCTCAACAAGGCAGAAAATTAATCTATAAACTGTACCTTTTATGTGCCTGCCCATCAGCTATGCACTGGCTGTGTTGTTTTTACTTTCTGAGACATGAACCTGGAGCTATATGACAGTTTGCACAAATACAAACAGCAAACTTCCTTCCATCTTCCCCACATCCACAGATGTCTTTTACTCTGTCAAATCTACACACACACAATCCTTGCTTCCTACTCAAAATTTGAACAGAAAAAGGATTTCACCTTTGGCAAGAAGGAGCAGGCACAAGCAGAGGGGCTAGGAGAGGAGAGAATTAGGTCCAGTGGATCTGTTTTTACTACAGCACACACACAGTAGGGAGGGTACATAGACATAAAGCACTAAAACTCCAAAATAATTACTCTTAAAGATTTGTTTTAGTCATTCGCACTCCCTTTAACATTATCAGTTTTAATAAATCATGTCTTTGATCAACCAGAAAAATGTGGCTACTCCACTAAATTTATCAGGACCAGTAAGAATTGCTCTACTCTACTGTCCCCAAATTAGAATGTGAATGTCTAAGTAAAAGAAGCAAACATATATACAGACAGATATAAATATAGATATACACAAACATACACACAGACATTTAAAACAACTCCTCTTTTTAAAGAGGAAACAAAACAAAAAGAAATAGTTGCTGATCCAAAGATAAGCAATATTTAACTACTGACAGCTTTCAGAAATTATTTACAAGATATTTTTAAAATTATCATTTAGGCCAGGCGCGGTGGCTCACACATGTAATCCCAGCACTTTGGGAGGCCAAGGTGAGCGGACCACGAGGTCAGGAGACCAAGACCATCCTGGCTAACGAGGTGAAACCCCGTCTCTACTAAAAATACAAAAAATTAGCCGGGCATGGTGGCAGGCACCTGTAGTCCCAGCTACTCAGGAGGCTGAGGCAGGAGAATGGCGTGAACCTGGGAGGTGGAGCTTGCAGTGAGCCGAGATCGCACCACTGCACTCCAGCCTGGGCAACAGAGCAAGACTCCATCCCAAAAAATATATATATATATTATTTACTAAGAGTCTATCACATCAGTCAACAAAAGCAGTGAACTACAAGGTAACTCAGTAGAGTGAACATATGACACACATGAAAACAGACTTGGAACAGTGAGATGACTGGCTGGAAATATGATCATCAGTCACTCCAGGGAAAAAACAAATATAAACAGTCCTAAACAATGTTCCATTTCACTGAATTCCAATCTTCCTATAAGCTATAAAACTCTAAGGAATTAAACACATGGTCATGCTTGTTTCGCTCCCTTCCTTCATATGCACACTTGAAAACATGAATTAAGCAACCACTGTGTACCAGGCAATGTGAAGACACTTCTCCTGACCTCAAGATACCTGTTGTCTTATCGTCTTTTCCCTCCATGAGAGAATCTAATGGAGGCCTGTATTTGCCCACAATAAATATGAGCTGTCCTCTTTGAGCATTCAAATATTACTCAGGTATTTAAGGATAGAATATCATAATATCTGGGATTTACTTTACATAATCCAGGGGGAAAAGTTGAGGGATAGATGAAATAAGAATGGAAAAACATTGAAAATTATGGCAACCATGTGACAGGCATATAGAGGTCCATTTTATTATTTCTCTAAAATGTTTCATAATATAAAGGTGTATGAGCTTGTTAGGAAGGGCTGCCATAACAAAGTGCCAAAGATTGGGTGGCTTAAATAACAGAAATGTATTTTCTCACAATCTGGAGGACAGAAGTCTGAGTTGAAGGCGTCAGGCAGGGTTAGTTTCTTTTAAGGCCTCTTTCATGTCTTGTAGATAGCTATTCTTCCCTGTGTCTTGACACGGTCTTGCTTGCCTCTGTGTGCGCATTTGTGTCCTGCTCTTAAAAGGACACCAATCATGTTGGATTAGGTACACCTGTATGACATTTTACCTTAGTCGCCTCTTTAAAGGCCTCATCTCCAAATACAGCCCACATTCTGAAACAGTAGGGGTTAGAACTTCAACATACAAATTTTGGAAGGACACAATTCAGCCCATAACAAAAAGTACATATTTAGATTATTACCTGATTATCCACTTGGTTTTAGATATATTGTCTATAGGTGATTATTACCTGATATGATCTGGTGTTGACCCACAGCATCCTCCAACTATATTGACCAAGCCATCCATAGCAAAATCCTGCATTTAGGAAGAGACAAAGTTTCAGCAAGTTCACTTGAATTCTAAACTCATTACCACCAATTCAACATAAAAGCCGTCTATACTTCCTGAATAACTAAGACTATACTAAAAAGAGAGTCAAACATACTTAACTCTAGATACAAAGATATCACATGCCCTAGACATAGGATAAAAGCAAAGAATAGTTCAGATGCTGTGAAATCCTTTATACCATTTAAAATGCAGTGAGAGGCTGGGTATGGTGGCTCACACCTATAATCTCAGCACTTTGGGAGGCAAAGGCAGGAGGATCACTTGAGGCCAGGAATTTGAGACCAGCCTGGGCAATATAGCAAGACCTCATCTCTACAAAAAATTTAAAAATTAGCTGGGCATGGTGGCATGTGTTTATAGTCCCAGCTACTCAGGAGGCTAGGTGGGAGGATCGCTTGAGCCCAGGAGTTCAAAGCTACAGTAAGCTATGATCACACCACTGAACTTCAGCCTGAGCAACACAGCAAGACCCTGTCTCAAAAAAATAAACACAAAAAATAAAGTTCAGTGGGAGATTTGCCTATCTAATGACTTTTTTACCCACATGCTGAGCTGAATGAATATGAGTTGGATAACACATTTTCAAATAACACAAAATAGAGTATTGATTTTTAAATTTACATTAATTGAAAAAATGTTTAAATAACAATTCAGTTCCTCTGTCACACTGGCCACAATTCAAGGGCTCCAAAAACCATATGGTAGTGGCTACATATGGGACAGCATGAGACTAGAGTTTAACCATAGGCTACTGAATAAAGAACACCATAACTAAGAGACAAAGTCAAGGAGCTGAGAAGTCAAGAGTATTGGAAAGATTGTCTACAAAGATAATGAAATCATAAGAAGTAAGTCAGAAATAGCCTAAGAGAGAATGTCAGTGAAACAGAAGCTAAAAATTCAAGGAATAAGGGGAAAGAGACCCAGGGATTAGTAGCTAAGTGCAATAAGAAGCAGCAGTGGATAGTATGGTCTCATGACCTAGGATTTAACAATGGCCAGTGTATGACAGACAGCGAGAATCATGGAGGTGACAATGGGCGGCCAGGGGGACATCTACTCCACCCAGCAGTCTGAGGGGTGTGAGGGCAGAAAGCTACAATTTGGGAAGGCTGCAGGGGAAGCAACATCTCAGAGGAGAGCCAAGTCTCAATTAGTTTGGAGTGGACCTCAACGAGAATTTTCCAGCAGCCACTAGTGCCAGCTGAGGATAAGGATGCTGACAGTTAGCCCTCCCCTGTGCCTCTAGTACCTTAATTTGGGATAGCTAAACTTTTCTTTGTTATATGTACATTGGGATTTCTTCAGGGAAAATTCTCCTTCTAAATACTCTAAATCTAAAATTCAATCTTTCTGTCTCTCTTAAAAAGCCAGTGAAAGGGGGACCCCTGACCTTTAGGTGCTTGGCCATCATAGAAGGCGTTTCATCATAGTCACCAAAGGTGTTGGGAAGACCTGAGAAAGGATAATTCAACCATTATTGCAAATTGCCTTAAAAATATACACTGTATTTTTAAAGACTTTATGTTAATAACTATATAATTTTATATTTATATTAAATGGTGACTACTTGCAAAAACAAACACATAATATTCACACAGTAAACAAAGAGATACCACACCCCCCAAAAAACTAAAAAAAAAAAAAAAAAATCACAGAGGAAAATGAACTCCATTATTTCTTTTCCGTTTGAAAGAAAATATTCACTGTTAGGCAGAACAGAATACCCCCAACCCCACCCCTTCCCATAAGGGAAATTCATTCATTCTTGTTACATAGCCGCTTGGGGGTGGGGGTGGAAGGAATACTACATAACCTTTGAACTAATGCGCAACTAACATGCCATTAAAAACAAACAAAAATCAACCAGTCTCCTTTCAAATAAATTTTCCCAAGTAAGACTTCAGCTTATAACAATCCAGTTTCTTGTTTTATTTATTATCTGCTTCCAGTTATCTTACTCCTGGTGGGAAATAAAATTTATTGTGCATTAAAATGACACATTTGGAGAAAAGAGGCTGGAAAATGACTTTTTGCTCTAAGTAGCTAAGCAGTGCTCAAATACATTCACAGGGATATCTGGTTAACCCTGAACAAATTACCAATATTTAATGGGACAGTTTGAGAACTGTCTACAAATATCTTCAAAACATTTCCATATAATGAACTGCAAGTCCAAGCTTTCAGAGAAGAAAAAGGTAACACCACACAAGATTCTTCTTTTGCTCTTCTACTAACAGAGTGGACCAGAGAAAGGGGTCTCTCTTCTCTTCCTTACACCCATCTTTCTGGTCACGTCCACCAGGCTTGTGCTGTCACCAAAGGCAAAGCTCTGGTCAGTTATGTGACTAAGCTCATTTCCGGAAGTTCTGTACTATTCTGAAGCTTCAGGGTGAGCCGAACTTCCCTCAGGTCTACAGGGAAACACTGCACCCAGACACTCTTCATTTATTAAGTGTCAACTATACCAACACCGGCAAAACAAGATCTTTTATTCAAGATCTCTTACCTCATCTATGCCATGTCTTATGTTATTTTTATCTCCCCATGTGTGACCCCCTTGAAACACACACCTGCATTGGGATAACAGAGGACATAGGCTGTTGTACATTTTCCAATTATTTCAATAAAAGGTCTCATTTCAGCTGCACCCAAAGCACAATTTAATCCAATGCTAGAAAAACAGAAAAAACATATTAAAAGCATCATCTCTCATTCATATTTATGCATATAAGTTATATATGGAGACAATATATCTAAAACCAAGTGGATAATAAATCTCCTCATTCAAAGCACTTTTATTCAACTACCATCAAAGCCATCTCACTGAGGTCCCCTGCAGCACTAAAGATTTTTGCCATTCAGATAATCCTACAGCTGAAAGACGCTGCCTGTGGGTGGACTCCTCAAATCAGTTCACATGGTATTCTATGGTACAGAAATGTCAGCAAACTAACACTGCTAAAAAAAAAAAAAAAAAAAAAAAAAAAAAAAAAGATCTGACCTGAAAGCAAAATTTAAAAGAAAGGAAAAGGAAATCTTGGAGGCAGAAAGAACACAGAATGGTGGCAAGAAGCCACTCTTGAAGTCCACGAGACCAGACCAGGACTTATGCTCTACCCCACAGGCAGAGTCCCTGCTACCCTATAAGGTTGTCAGTGGGTGGTGGGCCTGAGGTCTTCCAGAATTTATGAACCAACTATGAAGCTACTAGACTATGTGATCTCTAATGTTATCACATTTTACTTTTTTCCTTTTACTGTGATTCCTAAGTGCAATGTGGCATCCTAGACTGGATCCTTGAATAGAAAACAGATTATCAGTGGAAAATCCTTGAAATCTGAATAAAGTCTGCAGTTTAGTTAATATAGGTTAAATATCCCTAATCTGAAAACTGGAAATCCAAAATACTTCAAAATATGAAACTTTTTGAGAACTGACATGACCCACAAAAGAAATGTTCACTGGACCATATTAGATTTCAGATTAAGGATGCTAAACTGTAAGTATAGTACAAATATTCCAGAATTCGAAAAACTCTGCAATCCAAAAACACTTCTGGTCCCAAGCATTTCAGATGAGGGATACTCAACCTATAGTAATATACTCTTAGTTTTTACAAAAGTACCATAGTCATGCATTATGTTAACATGAAAACTAGAATATATAGAAATTCTCTGCACTATCTTTGCAACTCTTCTGCAAATCTGAAATGATTCCAAAATTAAGTTTATTTAACAAACATCCAATACTCATTCATTAAAAAAATTCAGCAAACTAGGAATAGGGGGAAATTTCCTTGACTTGATAAAGAGTATCTACAAAAAACTTCCAGCTAGTATCATGCTTAATCATGTGAAACTAGATGCTTTAATGCTAAGATGAGGAACAAGGCAAGGATATCCACTCTCATCTCTTATTCAATATTGTATTTGAAGTCCCTATGCAATAAGAAAAGATAGAAAGTAAAAGGTACACATACGGATTGGAAAGGAAGAAATAAAACTGTCTTTCTTCACAAATGACATGATTGTTTATGTAGAAAATCCCAGAGAATCACTAAAAACTCCTTGAACTAACAAGCAATTATACCAAGGTTTCAAAATACAAGGTAACTATACAAAACTCAATTGTTTACTTATATACCAGATATGAGCAATCAAAATTTGAAATTAAAAACACAGGACAGGCACAGTGGCTCATGCCTGTAATCTCAGCATTTTGGGAGGCCAAGGCAGGTGGATCACCTGAGCCCAGGAGTTTGAGACCAACCTGAGCAACACAGTAAAACCCTACCTCTGCAAAAAATAAAAAAATTAACCAGGCATGGTGGCGCACACCTGTAGTCCCAGCTACTTAGGAGGCTGAGGTAGAAGGATCAATTAAGCCTGGGAGGTTGAGGCTGCAGTGAGCCATGATCATACCACAGCACTCCAGCCTGAGTGACACAGCAAGATGCTGTCTCAAAAAAAAAAAAAAACAAAAAAAACCCCACAAAACCATTTACACTAGCACCAAAACAAATGAAATATTTGGATCTATATGAAAAAAACTATAAAATTCCAATTTAAGATATCAAAGTGGATCTAAATAAATGAAAACATATTTCAAGTTTATGAAGAGGAAGACAATATTGTTAAGATATCATTTCTCACCCTTGATCTATATTCAACAGAATCCCAATGAAAATCCCAGCAGTTACTTTGTGAATATCAACGAACTGATTCTAAAGTTTATATGGCGAGACAAAAGACCCAGAACAGCCAACACAATAATGAGAGAAAAAACAAAAGTTGAAGGACTGACCTACCCAACTCCAAGACTTACTAAAAAGCTAAAGCAATCAAGACAATGTGGAATTGGTGTAAGAAGAGACAAATAGATTAATGAAACAGAATAGAGTCCAGAAATAGAACCACACAAATACATTCAACTAATCTTTGACAGAAACACAGGCAATCCAATGGAGAACAGATATTCTTTCCAATAAATGGTGCTGGAACAACTGGGCATCTGCATTTGAAAAAGTTAATTTAGACAGACATTACATCTTTCACAAAAACTAACTCAAAATGGAACACAGACCTATATATAAATTGCAAAACGATTAAAATTTTGTAAATAACACAGAAAAAATTTAGATGATCGTGGGTTTGGCAATGAGTTTTTAGGTAAAACAACAAAGGCAGGGTCCATGAAAGAAAAAAAACTGGTAACTAGAACTTCACTAAGATTTAAAACTGTTCAGCAAAAGACAGTATTAAGTACATGAGAAGACAAACCACAGGCTGGGAGAAAATATTTGCAAAACACATTATCTGATAAAGGATTTGCTATAGCTTGGATGTGGTTTGTCCATGCCAAAATTCATGTTGAAATTTAAATGCCAATGAAACAGCGTTGGAAGGTGGGGCCTTTACAGATGATCAGATCATTAAGATGGATTACTGTCTTTCTCCAGAGACTGTGTTAGTTCCCTGGAGACTGAATTAGTTCTCAAGGGAATAAATTAGTTCTTTCAAGAACGGGTCGTTATAAAGCAAAACAGTCTCTTGTCCCCTCTCTTTCACACATGCTAACGTGCCCTTTCACTTTTCTGCCATGCTACGAAGCAGCACAAGGCCCTTGCCAGATGTGGCTACTCAATCTTGAAGTTCCCCGCCTCCAGAACTGTGAGCTAAATAAATCTCTTTTCTTTATAAATTACCATCTCAGGTATTCTGTTATAGCGATAGAAAGTAGAATATGACAGACTTGCATCCAAAATATACAAAGAATTCTTAAAATTCAACAACAAACGCAATTTTAAAAACTGTCTAAAGAGCTGACCAGCCTCCTCACCAAAGAAGATATACAGATAGCAAGTAAGCATATGAAAAGATGCTCAAAATTATCATGTTTTTAAGGAATTGCAAATACAACAAGATACCACTATACACCTATTAGAATGGCTAAAATCTGAAACTGACACCACCAAACAAATGTTGGGAAGGATGCGGAACAACAGGAACTCTCCTTCACTGCTGGTAGGAATGCAAAATGGAACAGCAGCTTTGGAGGATAGTTTGGCAGTTTCTCACAAGATACACAGTCTTACCATAAGATACAGCAATCCCCTCCTTGCTATTTACCCAAATGAATTAAAACTTATGTCTACACAAAAACCTGCCATGAATGTTTACGGAAACTTTTTTTTTTTTTTTTTAAGAAACTGACGCTTATTTTCCATCAGCCTTATTTCCATGTTACTTAACAGCCCAGGTAAGAACAGCTTAAGACCATTCAGTGGTTGCTGCTACTTATTCAGTGGCCTGAGCAGTGGGAGCTGCAGACCAGTCTTCCGTGGCAGGCTGAGTGCTCCAGTCTTCAGCTGGAAACTGCTGAATAGGCACAGAGGGCACCTGCATGCCTCAGACCAATCTGCAACCTCAGGCCGAGTAGCAGTGAACTCGGGAGCTGGAGCAGTCCATTCACCCTGAAACTCCTCCTTGGTCACAGTCTTTTCAGTAGCAGCCTGCTCTTCTTTTTCAATCTCTTCAGGATCTCTGTACAAGCAGAGATCAGGCATGACCTCCCGCAAGTGTTCACAGGAAATGGTGCCACGCATGTGCAGAACTTCTCAGGCCAGCATCCACCACATCAAACCCACCGAGTGAGCTCCCTTGTTGCATGCAATGGCAATGTCCACATAGCGCAGAGGGGAATCTGTGTTACACAGCGCAATGGTAGGCAGGTTAACATAAAGATGCCTCCATGAGAGGCTGCTGGTCAGCCCTCGAGTCAGTAACCACAAGAAGCCATGGCTCCCGGAAGGCTGCCTGGATCTGGTTAGTGAAGGTTCCAGAAGTGAAGCGGCCAGCAACTGGAGTGGCTCCAGTGGCAGCAGCAAACTTCAGCACGGCCCTCTGGCCAGTATTCCTGGAGGATATGACACTGACATCAGCAGGGTTTTTAATGGCAACAATGGCACAAGCCGCCAGCTGTAGCTTCTCCCAGGTCCTCTTCAGATTTATGATGTAGATCCCATCATTTTTCCTTTTATAGATGTACTGCTTCATTTGGAAGTCAAGTTTGGTGCCACCTAAATGGGTTCCTGCTGTAAGGAACTTAAGGACATCCTCCTCTTTCATTTGCAGGACATCAGGGGCTCTGGACATTGTGAAAGTTTCCCTTTAAGTTACATGGGAATCCAGAACAACGCCGGATGGACCCCTCTGTGAGTAGCATGGAAAGGCCATGGGAGATTTATTTGTAATTGCTACAACTTCGAAGCAACCAAGATGGTCTTCAATACATGAATGGGAAAAAAACCCACCGTACATCTTCGCAACGGAATATTATTTAGCGTTAAAAAGAAATAAGCTATCGAGCCTACAAAGACATGAATGAACCTTAAATGAAGATCACTAAGTGAAAGAAGCCAATGTGAAAAGGCTACATACTATGTGGTCTCAACTATATACCATTCTGGAAACAGCAAAACTATAGGACAGTGAGAAGATTTGTTGCCAGCAGGCCAGGAAAAAGAATAAATAACTGGAGCACAAGGGACTTTTGGGGCAATGAAACTACTCTGTATGATGCTGTAATGGATATATGTTACTCATGATATATTTGTCAAAACCCACAGAATATACAAAACCAAGAATGAACCCTAAGGTAAACTACAGACTTCAGTTAATAATGTATTGATATTGGTTCATATTGTAATAGGTGTACCACACCAATGCAAGCTGTTGATAATGAGAGAATTTTGAGACTCCATCTCAAAAGAAAAAAAGAAAACTCTGTCTCCCATTTTCAAAACCTAGCTCAAATGTCACCTTCTTTACAAGCTGTCTCTAAATTCTACAAGAACTCCATTACTCCTATGTATTGCCAGATTTTTATTCATAGTTCTGTATAGCACTGTGTATTTTATATTTTAATTCACTTATGCATTTCTCCTAGTGTGGACTATTCCAGATTGGACTGTATTCCAGGACATATAGTAGTATTTCAATAAATATTTGATGAATTACCAGTAATATAAAGGCTCTATCCCACTGTTCTATAGTTCGTGATAATCACAAGTCAGTAAGCAAAAGTTTCCTACATATATGTAAGAAAATGTATCCTTTTCACATATTATTTGCTGCCTTCTATCTGCCCCTACAGTCTGTAAGATTCGTAACGAAATAGAGAGCAAATACATTCTCTCTGTGAATGGACTGTAGCTGAAGTCATAGAAAGGATTATTTTTAAAAATTTTTAATTAACCACTGAGTGGATCAAAAGTCAGAACTGAATGTTTGCTTAAGAAATAAAAACATAAATTATTTAGACCTCGATAAAACCTCATCTTGGGGCTCCTGGAGGTGAGGCAGTGGCAGGAAGAACGTCCTCTAAGGGGCCCTTGAGAACTGTCAGCAAACTAAAGACTCCAGTGACACCCAGGACAACACAGAGGTTTTACCTAATCGCTAGGAAAGACTATATCATTATTATTAAGATCTCACACTGGTGTGGTACACCTATTAGAATGTGAACCAATAGCAATACATGATTAGTAACTAAAGTCTATGGTTTACATTAGGGTTCATTCTTGGTTTTGTATATTTTGTGGGTTTTGACAAATACATCATGAGTAACATATATCCATTACAGTGTCATTTACTTAACCACATAACAAATTCAGACTTAGCAAAGGGGCGGGAAAAGAGAAAGCGAAGGGAGGAATGCTCCAAATACTCACAGATAGGCACAAAAATTTAAATAAACTAGATAAAGTTTGTCTTCAGAGACCTCTACATTTCCTACCCTCAGTTTTTTTGTTAAACGTTTATGACATCCCTACTATGTGCCAAGAATTCCACTAAACACTACAGAAATAAAGATGAAGAGACTGCTCAGGAAAAACTCATAAGCTGTAAAGGAGGTCATCACAACCCAGTTCAAGACAATGATTTTCTTAGTCGTCAGGCCCAATCAAATGTCTATTAATGCACTTAAAATTAATAGCACCTTTTAAGAAATCACAATATGACATTAAGTCAACTGTAAGATGCACCCTGTAATTATAAACATTTAAGTGTGAAAAAAAAGAACATCACATAATTGATAAAATGTGATCTAACACAGGGGTTAAAAGCATGCTCCTGTCCCCAGATCCTCTATTTACTTCACCTTGGGCGAGTTACAACCTCTGAGTCTCAGTACCCTTCTTGTTAAAATGGGGACATTAATACCAGTACCTACCCTCAAGGTGTTATTGCCAGAATTAAAGAATTCACATAAAGCACTTAGAACAGAGCCTGGCACACAGCAAACTCTCAACAAATGTCTATTACTCTTACTTTTTATGGCAAAAGCTAAAATAAAAGTAAACGAAGAACATCGACCTGCGCTAGTGAGAGAGGGAATGTTCTCTGGAGGGAAGATTCTTGAGATGAGTCTTAAAGGCTAAGAAGAAGTCAGCAGAGTGAACAGGTATGGAGGAGGGAAAGGGGGGAAAGGGGGAAGGGGACCAGCATAGCTTCCAGGCAGTAGGAATAGAAGAAAAAAGCCCAGAAATAAAAAAAGTCCAGGCAAAAAACAGCATATATACTCAGATACTCTTCCATGTCACTCAAAGTACACAATTTAAAACATTTGGATATGAAAAATAAAATATAAATAGGGAGTTATTTTTAAGCAGATTGTAAAAGTCATGTTAATTTAATTCTTTAGAGACAGATCCTGCTATGTTGGCCAAGCTGAAATACAGTGGTTATTCATAGGAGCTATCATAGTATACTACAGCCTCCAACACCTGGCCTTAAGAGATCCTCTCCTGCTTCCACCTCCCAAGTAGCTGGGACTACAGGCCCACACCACCATGCCAACTGCCATGTTCACTTTACAGATAAAAACCTGAGCTTTAGAATTCCCACCTTATTCCATGACAGATTGCTTCTGGTTGCCTCATAAATAGGGAGTGTCACTGCCCTAAAATTTGCAAAGCACTGCAAACTATAAGGGGCACGCCTACAGAAAACAGGCAACCATTTGTAAGTATGAGAACTCTCCCAGTCCCTCAAATTGACCCGTTTAGGCAGCGATCTTCTGAAACCTTTAGGGAAAAGTCTGAAAGTACTTAAAGGAAAGTCAATATAGCAGAAGTGGTACAGTGAAAATATGTAGAAGCAATCCCCTCCCAGGTCACACTCCACAGCCATCAGAAAAGGTTCCCCAAAAAAGAAAAGAAGTTACAGAAAGATGGATCACTCACCAGAGTGGTTCTCCATGAGACACGCTGATGACAAATCCCTCTCCTGTCTGTCCGGAAAGAGTCCGCCCACTTTTATCAACGATCGTCCCTGAAATCTGAATTGACAAAGTAAACAAAGTCAACAATACAGACTCAAGTTAAGAATATAGATATAAAGGCAAAATAAAATGAACACACTGACTTCCTTTGCTCTTTTACAAGGAAAAGAAATGTGGAACTCAAATTCAAAGGGGGCACTTTCTATAATAGTCAGAACAGACATGTGCCAAGAGACTAGGGAAAGAGGCAGGAAGCCACAGAAACAGAGACAAGGGAAAGTCACTGTAGCAAAAGCAATGACCAAAACAACTTTGGAATTCACACATCCAGTCTCATTAGAGGCAGATTTCCCAGAGATAACATCAAGTCATCCTGACCTCCTGCTGTTAAACATTGGATTTATCTAACACCCTTGTTTTGATTCAATTCGCTTCTCACCAAGCAATTTTAGGACTCGCAGAGAGGTCTGCCTACTGAGTTAATAAATTGGCAGTCTGGTGTCTTAGGTGTTGGGTATGTGGCCATCAGCATGCAAGTCCACCCCTCCTTGGGCCCTAATGAGACTGAGCCTTGAAGCCTTTGGCTTCAAGGACCAATACAGTGGGCTTCTTTTGAACAGTTTGCCTTCCATCAGCTACTTCTAGATTCATTTTCCTTGCCTCTCCAGATATAAGACTGTTATTGGTCCAGAAGTGGTGGAAGGGAAGTGAACAATGGAAGTTAAAGTAGATGAGTTCTAAAGATACCATTAATAGTTCTACTATGCAAAGCGGGGGAAAAACATGCTCAAAAGGACAATTATTAATAAAAGAATGTATTGTGCAAACACTTTAGAACTTACAAAGATAGGCCGGGGAGCATATTTCTCCTCAAAAAGATTTTGGAGTGCAAACAAGGCTGCCTGTCAGGGAAAAAAGAAAGAACGTCTTTATTTCTGAGAGTGTGTCCAAGATTAGTCTAACTTCCTGATTAGAATGCACCCTTTTCTAAGACCTCTTCAGATAAGATATACATCAAGCTCTCTGGGAAGAAGTGTCTTCCTTATAAGGCACAACCCCAGCACCCCTTTCTCAAGTGTAATACTGTGCATATTGAAACAAAACAAAAGCTGACTGAAAGTTCACCTAGGAACTAGTATTTCCACTGAGGAGGAGCTGAAGGGGTATTCTTTCTTCCTTTCTTCAATAAAAATTAAAAATAAATAAGTAACACTCAGGAGGCTGAGACAGGACGACTGCCTGAGCCTAGGAGCTCAAGGTTGCAGTTGAGCTGTGATTATGCCACTGCACTCCAGCCCTGATGACAGAACAAGACTCTGTCTCAAAAATAAATAAATAAGAATGTCCCTGCCTTTCACATCCTTTCATACACATGGTAGGTATATGAACCAACAGTATCCATCATTGCGAAAAACAGCATGAGCTTAGATTAGGTAGTAAAGGTACAAATCCTATGTCATTCTGTGCTGTTCAGTCCACATTTTAAGTTCCAGATAATGGATCTTCTTTTTTATCATTATATTTCTTGATTCTAAGATATGTATGTTTTCACAATTAATTCTCTGAAATCAGAATGCAACCTGTAATTAATGTGCATCTTTCCTGTGATGGTAGGTTTTTTTCATGGAAAGTTACTAAATCAATAATATCAGAATTTCCTCTTTAGAACTAGACAAATTGATCCTAAAGATCTTACGGAAAACAAACATATAAGAATAGCCATGAAAGTTCTGGAAAATGGGGTGGGACTCAATGCAAAAAATCTAAGCCAACCAGTTACTCAGACATATTCTAATGTTGTGGTAAATGGTGCAGTAGTGCCACATCAGCAGACAGATTGATAGAAAACACTAGATCCAAATGCACTCCAGAATTTTGGATGATAAGGATAATGCTCCACATCATTCCTATCACTGTGAAATAACAGGATGTTTAATAGATGGTGGTAGGAAAACTAAACTTTAAAGGAAAAAAGTTAGCTCTCGATTCTATTTCTCACTCCAAAATAAATACAAGATGCACCGTGAGGGACATTAGTTCCATATAATCATAATGTATGCCACACATTCGAAAACTTAGAAACTCAACAAAACCTATCCTTAATGCTTAACCCTCCTGTTAATCCCTCTTATTTCTAATCTGAACAATACCGTGACTCTCTCCAGATGTATATACGAATCTCATTTCAGATATATTCCTTATCTTGTTACTGCTCTCATTTTCAAAATGTGTATCTGAATTCCTTTTCAAATTATAATTTGTTTACTGCAGATTCACAAAACAATTTCTAAAAAGACATATAAAAAAGAACCCAGTGAAAGTGATGTGTTAAGAATGAGGTAGGGTGGTCATCTAGCTTCAGGCTGGTAGTGGCTCTCTACGTTCTTCCTGCTTGCAAGTATTTTAGAAAACGATTTTTTTGAAAAGTTCAAAAATTCTGGACCTGTGGTCTGATTCCCACAACAATGAAACATTTAATGAAACTGTAAAGTACTACGGAGGAAAAGGCCATTTTTCCATTTTTTTCTTCTCTTCAACTGAGGAGTGGCTCTGTAAGTGTAGTCTCCCCCTCCCACAACAAAAAAATAGAATCTGTAAATTCAACCACACAACATTTAAGAAAAATTCTCCTACACCATTAAAACGCACACACAAACTAACAATAACACAACACTACCACCATCACCACCATAAAGAAAGTCAAATGTCAAACAAACTGGAGGACAGGAGCTGCTACTTATTATTGAGAGGGGCCTGATTTCCTCAGTAAAGGACTCAATTTTAAAAAGCCAAAGTCCAATAGAAAAAAAGGACAGAAGACATAAATCATAGAAAATGAAATATAAATGGCTCTAAAACTGAAGAAAGATGCTCAATTACATTAGTAGTAAGAAAAATACAAATTAAAACTACAGTGAGGTACCACCTGTCAAACTGGAAAAGGTCAAACAGTTTAATAATACACAGTGCTAGTGAGGGTGTCGTGAAACCAGGACTATTGTACATTGCTTGCTGAAGGGAGTATAAATGAGTCCAGTCGCAAATGAGGGTAATTTGACACTAAAGATAAAAATTAACAACGCATATACCCTTTGATTCAGCAATTTAACTTGTAGAAATGTATCCTACAGATACACTGTGTAAAAACGTATGTATAAGGATATTTGCTTCTCTCTCCATATACACTTATGTGCCTTTGCATGTATGTAAGGAACACAAACACACACATACACACATGCCTATATCTGTATCGCATCTGTCAGGACCCCCAAACTGGTAATAGTGGTTGTATCAGGAAAGGGAGCTGGATAACTAGAGACTAGGAAAGGAAAGGATATTCACTTTTCACTCCATATATTTATGTATCTTTCAAATTTAGAACCAGCAGCATGTATTACCTCAGGATATATGCATTTATACTAGCTATATATGAAAATATTTATTTTCATAATTAGAAAAAAGTTATTTTAAAAGCTTCAAAAGCAGGTTTAAAGTTTTTCTTATTGTACTGGCCTCAGTTAAAAATACTCAAGAATAAAATGGAGCAAATACAGGTAATTTATTTAACTTTGATAATGGCTAATATTATCTTCTCCCTACATTAGGGGACTCACCCACAGCCCTTACCCCAGCCTTGTCTGTTTTTTCTCCCTTAACTCACCTTGGCATTGGCAGTATCAAAAATAGTTTCAATGAGTAAGATATCAACCCCGCCATCCAGAAGTCCTTTGGCCTGCTCTTGGTATGCTTCAACAAGCTCATCAAATGCTGCAAAAAATAAATCACACCCAGCACATCAGTCATCAATATCCTCTGAATGGCCCTAGGGTATCTCGAGTGTAGGTCTGGCACCTGTGAACTATTGCTGGTTTACAATGCATAGTTTAAGAACATGATCTTTTGTAAGAAACCAAATAAAGAAAGGTGGCAGGGACAGAAGGTAAACAAGTAAGCTGAAGGCAGCTGTTCCTAAACACCTGCCACGTAACTTCCACTTCCCATGTATGAGCTGAGGAGTGAGAGGGAAGGCGTATGAATTTCTTGAACATGTACCCCCCATTCAACATCTCTGAAACATATCATTCTTTCCATAGCTCATTTCAATCAACCGGTTAAGAGATGGCTGTGAGAAACATGCCACACTGATGCAGAGAGGTCACAGGTTGAGTAGAAGTCACTCTCTGTGATAAAGGGCTGCAAGCCCGCAGATTTTGTCTCTGCTCTTACACCAACTCTGTCAGAGAAGAAACCTGTCTGGTGAGCAATTTCAGTCTCAAACAAAAAGTGTTCAATCACTCCTAGGTAAAATTTTTGTTAGAAATGTCTTGGGTTGGCCCAGTGCAGTGGCTCACGCCAGCACTGTGGGGGCCTGGGGTGAGCAGATCACTTGAGGTCAGGAGTTCAAGACCAGCCTGGCCAACATGGTGAAACCCCAACTCTACTTTAAAAATATAAAAATTAGCCAGGCGTGATGGCACACGCCTGTAGCCCCAGCTACTGGGGAGAGTGAGACAGGATAATCGCTCAAACCCAGGAGGTGGAGGCTGCAGTAAGCCAAGATAATGCTCAGATATCCAACAGAGAAGCCTACACAACAAAGTCCTCTTGTAACATCGTTGACAGGTTCTCAGAAATTGCAACTTTGACTGAGACAATATGTAACAAAACCAGTATTTTCTTTCTAATCAACATTATAATGAAATTCTGTTGAAGGAAATGACATTATTTGAGGGCCTGCTATGCATCATTTTGCTTAAAGATGCAGTTTTCAAAAACCTGCCAATGACGTTAAGTGAAGACTTACCGTACTTCACCTTGTACAGCCCAAGAGCAAGGGTAAGTTAGCTCCCCACTGGCAGGTCTAGACCAAAGAGAGCATCAACAACACATAAGCCTGGTATGAACAACTCCTAGTGAAAAAGTGTGGTATCACAGCACACAAAGTTCCATAAACCAAAAACCTACAAACCATATTTGCTTGATCTCATCATCTCCACCCACTGCACTACCAGACATGGTATCATGACTATTCAGCTCTGATATTTTAATGCTTTTTGTTTTCTATAGTCTTGATGCTTAGAAATTGACCTAGATACTTGGATGTTTTGTCAGATCTCAATATAAGTATGTTTATATATGGTAGTTTATAACATGTATAATGCTAACATGTTGATATGGTTTGGCTGTGTCCCCACCCAAATCTCGTCTTGAATTCCCGCGTGTTGTGAGAGGGGACCTGGTGAGGGTAATTGAATCATGGGGGCAGGTCTTTCCTGTGCTGTTCTTATAAGAGTGAATAAGTCTTACGAGATCTGATGGTTATATAAGGGGGAGTTTCCCTGTACAAGCTTTCTCTTTGCCTGCTACCATCCGTGTAAGACGTGACTTGCTCCTCCTTGCCTTCTGCCATGATTGTGAGGCTTCCCCAGCCACATGGAACTGTAAGTCCATTAAACCTCTCTTTCTTCTGTAAATTGTCCAGTCTTGTACGCCTTTATCAGCAGTGTGAAAATGGACTAATACAGATGTCTAGATAGTTTGGACTGCCTTCTGATAAATGAGGATATTGTGTGCTATTTTATAATAGACCACAAACCTAGTATCCAAATTTGTTCAACTTCTGAGTTTACAGCTTTATTTTAGTTGGTTTTATTTCCACAGCTGACAAAGCAGCATTAACACACCACCATATATATTTGAAAGCAAGTTCAAATAATAATAATCATCATAGCTAACTTTCTATTTAGATGTCTACTATATTCCAGGCACTGCTGTACACGTTTTACATGGATTAAATCACAGTAACTCTAAGGTAGATCCTGTTATTGATTCCATTTTACAGATTTATAGCTTACTGAAGCTTGGGGAGTACTTCCCCAAGATCAATGATTATATGTGGTAAATACTCACTGATGTTCCTATAATCCGGCCTTTCCACAGATGGGGACACAGAGAGTGTCTTATTAGTCGGACCCAGAGCCCCTGCCACAAACCTCTTAATTCCTTTGGGAAAAGAAAAACAAGTGTGAGATCTCTAAGTGGCTGAACATTTTTTGTCGTGAATGAATAGCCAATAAGATTTTTTTCTGGAACACAGGTCTATAATCTTTTGTCCACAACTCTGAAATCCAAAAAGCTCTAAAAGCCCAAACTTTTTTCTCAGTTTGACAATAAAACTTGACCTCTCCTAAACTAACGAGAGACTATTTATAGTCTTTATCCAACTTAGATGATTCATAGATTCTGCTTACATATATTTGATCATGGGGCTGCCCCAGATCCCACTAAGGAAATTATGCCATATAGGAGATATACACATATCATCACGAAACCAGTCCCCACAACTCTCAATTCTCACACAACTAACTAAAACATTTCAGTAAGTAATCCTTTTCTATCACCACAGCTGTGTTTGGACAAATTCCCTCTCTTCCTATTTTTATGAAGCCCTGAAGGTTTTGAACTTAACGTAAGTTCTGCAAAATCACCTTACAGTAGCATTTAACTTGAAATGCTCTCTAGTACCATATTGCAGGCCCTTCACTAGAAGGAAATACTAAATCAGGATTAACAATTATAAAGCCTGAAATTGAAGTATGAAGCAGAGCAAATCTTTCTTTAATAACTTTTCCTCTGCCCTGAAGTCCAGGTGCTTCTAAAAATGGTGTAGCAAGTTGTGTTCATTCCTAAAGAAGCCAGGGTTGTACTGCTCATTACCTTTGATGACTTTAGCCACTCAATAACCTGGGCTATGCTTTGTAATTTAACTGGAGAGGACTATCAGCTAATTGATAAACCAGCTTTTGAACAGGTTACAGGCCCAAATATTCTTTTGCATCCCCAAAGCTAACCAATAACGTGGGTATAAGAAAAATGTCCTTCTCTCTCCCTGCTTTAGCTGGTTCAGTGTCCTCTGACCTGTGACTCTGTTGGAGTAATAGTCTATGCATTTCCATGAATTTAAACATTATCTCTTAGAAACAGAGTTCCTGCTTTGGTCTTCATTAGTATGCTGTGTATAACTTCACAGCAATTCTGCTTTCCTGTTGGCAATAACTTCACGTTTCCAAGTCTTAAGGGGCTACATATATTTCTTATATTCCTTTCCCTCCCTCAAAGCCTCCTACCAGCTGGTGCCCAAGTGTTCTGATGGCATCCAGCCAGGAGGCTAGTTATTTCAGGAGCCACTTTTCAAGTCCAAGCAAGACTGAATCTAATGCCACACTTTTTTGTGTGCTTCACAGAGCCTTCAAGGACATCAATAGTATAAAGGGAAAATGCTTGAAAGGCAATATCTTTACCTATATCAGCCAATCATGGGAATGAGGGTGGCTTTAAAAAAATGAGATCAATTATCCTAATAACAGCCAAGATCATCAAAACAGCCAGCTGTTACTTTTAATGACATGATGATGTGCTTCCAAAGAGACATAAATTATTTCAGCTCTAAATACACAAGGAAGTCAGGGGCCTAGCTACAAAGTCAGGCTAACCCAGGGTGAAAGAGCAAATTCCGAGCCCAAGGACCACAGAGTTGGCATCAATTCAAAGATGTTGAGTGCTTGATTATGAAACTGCAGAGAAGTAATCTACAAACATGTAAAATACAGTCTCTGCAGTGTTACTCGTAAGCCAAAGGCCACATAAGGAAAAACTGCAATAAGGACAGCACATTATAGCTGACAGTATCAAAGGAACCACGTGTGCAAAAAAAGAGAAGAACATTCCCTACCTGTCTGGAGAGTTACCTCCTCGGCAGCTTTTCTGGCCACTCCTGCAGAGCACATGTTCATCCGGTAGGCCTAACGTATCAACCACAAACGTTAGCTTGTCCTTCTTTTCCTCCGCACAATAAATAATGGATTCATGACCATCTAATACTCAGTTTTCTTCAGTAACAAAATGTAGAGTGAATTAATCTGAGGTCTGAGTGAAATCTTAGCCAAGCAGGCATATCAGCTCCAGACTTGAAAGGCAGCAAGGAAAGACAAGAGTCCTTGGGAACTGCTTTTAGGTTCTCCTCCCAAACCATGAGCTAGCCAGTAAAAAGGGCAATCCCTAGACATCTAGCATGTCAGAGAATAACTTACGTAGTTAAATATTCTGAGAATTAAGAAAAAAATAAAGCAATGGAAAGAGCATAGGCTTAAGAGGCAAAACACGCAGGTTCAAGCACTAGTCTGTCACTGCCTGGCCAGGCAGTTCCCACAGCAACTTTTCCAGGCCTTGATTCATGTACAACAGTTGGGATCAGTAATTCTGAACTTTTTGCATATTATTAACCACCTGAGAATTTGATAAAGGACTATGAACCCTCTTACCAGGAAATAAAAAGCAAATATGCACATACACACATAGTGTTGCCTATGATTTAAGGAGGTTCACGGCCCTCCAGAAGCTCTTCCACAGACCAAGTCAGGAGAAACTAGACTTGTGATTTTCAAGTTCCTTTGAATTCCTAAGATCCTATGTGTCTTGAATAACCACATCCAGGAATTTAACAACCAGAATATCCTAAATAGGTACTGGCAAACTCTGGCTCATAGGGCAAGTTGGGTCCACCGCCTGTTTTTGTAAATAGTTTTACTGGGATAAAGTAAGTCCATTTATTTATATAATGTCTATAGCTGCTTCCACACTACATGATGGAGTTGAGCAGTTGCAAAAGACTGTCTGTAGCTAACAAAGCCGAAATATGTACTATCTGACCCTTTATTAAAAAACGTTGGCCAACTTCTGCTCTAAAATGACACAAAAGTAACTGGAAAACACTGCTTACCTGAAAACAGAGTAATGTGTCTGGAAACATGCCAAACAAAAATGGGGACATTAGCATCTACCATATATTTCTATCATCAAGGTTTTATAAAATTTAAATATGGAAGCATCATGTCGATTAAAAGGAAATCAAATCTGCCAATAGTATCATTAGGATGACTACTATTTAAAAAAATAGAAAATAAATGGTGGTGAGGATGTGGAAATACTGACACTCTTGTTCACTGTTAGTGGGAATGTAAAATGGTACAGCCGGCCAGGCGCGGTGGCTCACACCTGTAATCCCAGCACTTTGGGAGGCCGAGGTGGGCAGATTACCTAAGCTCAGGAATTGGAGACCAGCCTGGGCAACATGGCAAAACCCTGTCTCTACAAAAAATACAAAAATTAGCAGGGCATGGTAGAGCAAGCCTGTAGCCCCAGCTACTTGGAGGGCTAAAGCAGGAGAAACACTTGAACCCAGGAGGCGGAGGTTGCAGTGAGCCGAGATCACTCCACTGCACTCCAGCCTGGGTGACAGAGCAAGACCCTGCCTCAAAAAAAAAGGTACAGCCACTCTGAAAAGCAGTATGGCAGTTCCTCAAAAAATTAAACAGAATTACCATATCATCTAACAATTCAACTTCTGTGTATATATACAAAAAATTGAATGTGGGGACTTGAATACATGCTATATATACATGTATATAGCAACATTGCATATTCACAATAGCCGAAAGGTAGAAGCAACCCAAATGATCAACAGATGAATAAGCAAAACGTGGTATATACACACAATGGTATATTATTCAACCTTAAAAAGGAAGGAAATTCTGATACATACTACAACATGGATGAACCTTGAGGACATTACATTAAGTGAAACAAACTAGTCACAAAAGGCCAAATACTATATGATTCAACATATCTAAGGTACCTAGAATAGTCAAATTCATAGAGACAGAAAGTAGAATAGAGTATGCTGGGGCTGGAGTTGGGGGTAGAATGGGAAGGTATTGTTTAATGGGTACAGAGTTTCAGTTTTGGAAAATGAGAAAGTTCTGGAAATGGACAGTGGTGATGATAGCACAATACTGTGAATGTACTTAATGCCACTCAAGTGTACACTTAAAAATAATTATGATAAATTTTAGTGTTATTTAATCACAATTTTTAAAAAAGAAAGAAACCAAGGCTGCCATCTAATACTTAAAAAGGCCTCACAATACTGTGTGCATACGGCCAATGATTATGCCTTTATCAACAGCTACTGCATAATTAAGTATCATTTATATTTGATTATTACTTGCCCATAAAAGAAGCCAGTTGGAAAATGAATGGGCCACTGTGTTCACAAGCTGGAAGGATTCACACCATTTTCCCTGTCTCATCATAAACAACAGATAACTAGGCATTAGCTTGACTCTGCAGCTTCCAGTGCTTTACTCACTAGCAACTACCAATGCAGCAAACGCTCGTAAGCATCTTAGACACATGGAACAATGGAATTCTTACCAAGTGTTCAAGGCCATAGTCAGCTTGGGCAATACTAGTGCTGCTAAAAGTATTTGTTTCAATGATATCTGCCCCAGCCAGCAAGTATTCCTGCAACAAGAGATTATAATGTCAATTATGAGCTTTAGAGTTTCTTGTGCCCCCAGAATAAACATGCCCTTTCATTACCACCATTATCAGCAGCTACCTTTTGACCATTTACTAAGAGTAAGGCACTGCATTAGAAGGTAGAGATGCAAAAAGGTGTAAGGATTTCACAGAAAGGCACGTGGTATGAATAAATAAACACGAAACTTGAATTCAGACAATGTTAACATGCTAAGGTTATAAGAACTTAATCAAGTCCCTTAAACTCTCTGAGTCTCAGTCTCTTCATTCAAATATATTATAACCCTACTTCACAGGGTAGCTATATGCTAACATAAGGTAACACATCAGCCAGGCATGGTGGCTCACGCTTGTAATCATAGCACTTTGGGAAGCCAAGGTGAGAGGACTGCTTGAGGCCAGGAGTTCAAGACCAGTCTGTGCAACATAGAAAGACCCTGTCTCTAACCAAAACAACACGAAAAATTAGCCAGGCATGGTGGCACATGCCCGTAGTCCCAGCTACTCGGAAGGCTAAGGCAGGAGGACTGCTTGGGCCCAGAGGTTCAAGTGAGCCACAGTGGGCTAGAGTGAGCCACGGTGGCACCACTGCACTCCAGCCTGAGTGACAGAGTGAGACCTTGTCTCAAAAAAACAACACCAAAAAGATAATGCATCAAATGTCTGGCACACAATGGGCACTCAACAAATGGTAGTTCTGTTCCCTTATCTTCTTCCTGCTTTGGCAGAACCTGATGCCCACCGAGAAGTATACCATCTCAGAGATCTCAACCTCTGACCACAATTGTTCAGTCTACATCTCCTAGTCTCTCTGAACAAGCATCACATCCCTACTGAAACCCTGAAGATCTTGATGCTCCTTTGTGCTCTCTTCGAAACTCGTCTCCCTGGCTCCACTCCTTGGATCATCTCAACCTCAATCTGACTAGCAACCTGGAATCCCTTGACCCCCTTGATTTTCCAATACTGAATAAACCCAACCCCTCTTAAGTCGATGGACAATGGTTGCAGAAGCACTGGGAGATAAAAACCAAGATACGCACATTTATAGTAACAATAACAAACATCCGAAATATCTACCCATAGGGAAACAGCTAAATAAACTAAAATATATCCACTTTATTACATGCCATGTGACAGCAAAAAAACTGTGTATATCTACAAATACTGACATGGAAAGATTCTGCAAAGTATTGTTAAGTAAAAAAAAAAATAGAATGATACGTAAAGCATGACACCATTAAATTAAAAAAACATACACAGAGTACTATGAGTTTTCTACATATATATATTCACTCACGTATACACACATACACATATATGAAAATGCCTAACAAAGGAATCTGGGACGACACACACCAACTAATATCAGTGGTTATCTCTGGGGAAAAAATAGCAATTTAGAGTATGGTCAAATGGGAATGTATTATCTACGAGATTTGTTTTATAAGAACTAATTTAAGTTTTTTTTAAAAGAACAAGAAAAACTGAAAATAAACTTAATGCCTAGGAATAAGGAGATTAGTTAAATAAATGATGATATATACATGGAATAGATTATGAAGTTATTAAAACCATGTTCCAGAATATTTAATACTCATGGTATATAAGTAAAAAATGCAAATTATAAGACAGTACGAAGCAATGTAATCCCAATTTAATTTTTTAAACTCCAAGTATAGAAAACTAGACTAAAATACAAAATACATGAATGATAATTGTATCTTAGAATTTTATAATGGGTGAGCGCCAGCTTTCTAGTTCATAGACAGCATCTTCTCACTGTATCTTCACATGGTGGAAGGGGTGAATAAGCGCCCTTGAGCCTCTTTTATAAGGGCACCTCCTAATACCATCACACTAGGCATTAGGATTTTACATATGAATCTCATGGGGACACAAACATTGAGAACACAGCAGTGCCCTTATAAGCACAAATATGAGAGTTTTTTGTTCTCTCTCTGCTCTCCGTCATGTAGATACAAAGACAGCTATCTATAAACAAGAGGGCCCTCACCAGACACAGGATCTGCTGGCACTTTGACTGTGGACTTCCAGCTTCCAGAACTGTGAGAAATAAATGTGTGCTTGTATAACCCAGTCTATGGTAACAGGTAATACAGCAGCCAAAGCTAAGATACCAACCACCTTTAAGCATTTCTTCATCAGGGCTGTTGCAGTAACTTAAATAAGATAGTTTTCTCACACTCACTAGTGTGAAAACCCTTATTTGTCCAGATTCTCATAGTTTTTCACTAGAGTTTACATGCCTCAAGGGCAGAAAACCTACCTACCTCATTCCCTTATCCTGAGTGCTTAACACAGTACATAACTTTTATTTGATGTCCAAAACCTGCTTTCTGAATAAATTGCCTCTTTATTCTTTATTCTCCGGAGCACTCGGCATAGCAGCCTGCCCTGATACATGAAACAGCTTGCAGAATAACAGAATGAATACACATGGGAACCTGGGAATACTTTACCTTATGGATTTGGTAAATGACATCAGGCTGAGTTATACTTAAAATGTCATTGTTGCCTTTCAGCGGCCTGGCATGATCTTTAAATTCCTGACCTCGGAAGTGTTCTTCGTTTAGCTTCTCCCGCTGGATCATGGTCCCCATCCCTCCATCCAGCACCATAATCCTCTTCTGCAGAATGGCATTGATCTCATCCCGCAGGGTTTTCTTCAGACCTTCTTTAAAGAAAGTGAAAGTTTGACTTCAAAGAATGAAAGGTGAAAAAGATGTGTGAGGGAGGAGCTTTAGAGAAATTTATAATAATCTCCAATAAGGAGTAAATGGAGTTTATAAAAGATGCACTCATAACTCTATATAGGAAAACGCTGCCCAAAAAGGTCATTAAGTCGTGACAATGCCTAATACAAGATTGCACACAGCACAAAATTCCTGGTGAAGCACGAAACCAAGGTGAAGGTAGGCTACACTACTCCTGTTTTACAGATGAGGAAAACAGGCAATAATGGGCCAGTGATACAAGACTTTGCTCTCTTTCCTTGTTAATTCTGTGCAGATACTCCCTAAATAAAATGATTTAGCAGAGATAATTGAAAACCATCAATAATTCCAAACTATTCTTTAAAATATTAGCTTTGACCTTCTCCCTCACCTATTGCCAGAACTAATAATGGCCTGCAAACAGAGTTTTACTCACCTCTGCCCAACTATGAAATAATAACTGGCTAACACCCTTGAACTTCTCAACTCTCCCCATGCTCCTTGACTTCTAATTCCCAGTCCAGAAAAGGGCCCAATGCTTACTCCTTCTAATCCTGCTTTCTGGTTTCTACGACCTACTGGAAAGCCACAAAACTATGCTGACTGGAGTCACTGAAAACTTGCAACGTTCAGCCTCCTTTGGTTCACCTTTTCTTGACCTCCCTCAATACTTCCAACATCTACTGTCCCAATTTCTACTTTTTTTTTTAGCACCAAATCCTTTTCCTCCTCACTCCACAAGTGATTTCACCTAATCCCGTACAAAGAAGTTTTCTGTTGGAGGCTCCTCAAACTCACACCCTCTCCACCTCAAAATCCTCTTGCAGTCTGGCTCACTCTATTTCCCTTCTTTCTGTACCTAAGGAAAAGCGCATGATGACCAACACCTCCCACTGCTCCCTCATCTAGCCCTTCCCACTCCCACAGTTCCACCTCAGCAACCACCGATTTCTTATCCTTCTGACATGGCTTCCTCCTCCACCACTCTCCTGAAATTACTTTCTAAAGTCACCAATGACCTTCTAAATATCAAAAACACCTGGCCCCAATCTTAGACCCAGCTTTTAAACTGTCCACTGGATATGGCTACCTCAACTACCCACCTGCCCCTCAATCTAATATTCAAAACCAAACTTGCATATATTCTCTGTCTCATCTCCTGATTTCTGTAAATGGCAACACCCTTCCCAGAAGACTAACCATAAAATCTCAGTATTATCTGACTCCTTATTCTCCCTGATAACCAACATCTACTTAGATCCCAAGCCTTATAGATTTGGCCTCTAAAATGCCATGCACAATGGTCCCACCTTCCTCGCCCTGTGACAACCCCTTTCTTCAACCCCTTACTACACAGGCCAGCTATCACCAATCCTCTCTGAGCTCTAGTTTGCATCCATGCAAATGAGATCATACATCTATGGAAGTGCCTTGTAAACTATCAAGTGTCCTACAAAGGTAAGAGATCACCACCATACCCAGTCGCCCTGTGTTCTAATCCATCCTGTGCACCACTACCAGATTTATCTTCCTATACAACAATTTTAAACCAGTTGCTTCCCCTGCTCAAACACCTTCAACAACTCCCTATAGCATATCAGACTGAATACATGTTACTCAAAACAAACCATAATGACGCCAACCCATTCCTTCTGTGCTAAGAGGCGAGAAAAGCTCAAGTCAAATGGGGCTGGTTCTAAGCTATCTGAGCTCCTTGGAACTCATGCCTAGCAACACTAAGGTCAGTACTTGGCAAATATTTCTTTAATTGAAATGACAAAAAAGTGAGGGAAGATGAGAAAGAAGAGGCAAAGATAATTTAAAACCCAAACCAGTAATGTAAGAATATTTGTAAGCTGGTATTGGGTGCAAACTTACAACCCTGCCTCGTCTTACTGTCCAGAGTCTCAAGTATACAATATGAGAACTGGGGCTAAATGGTGGTCACAGAACTATTTTGAGTGACTTTCTCCAAGTGGGCTTCAGGAAGGTGGCTCTAGTAACCTAAAAGAAAAATTTGCAATATCCAATATCTAGTTTCTGGGCACTATGTTTCTTTCAGGGTGTACTATTCCTTTCCAAAGCCACCTCACTTGCTAATTGTGTTTACTGAACTTGCAGGTGAGATAAAACACTTCCTGATAAAGGAACGAAGTTAAGCTCCAATGATCTGTACAAAAGTACTTCAAGAACCAAAGAAAATCACTTCTTGGGAAATGTGGAGAAAAGGTAGGGCTTAATGAAGCATGTATAATAGAAAGACTGGTAGGCATCAGGCAGTGGGCGCCATTTCAAGCTATAGTCGACACGGTAAATTCACATGTAGTGTTAATTTAGGCACTCCATGATGTGACTATCCTATCAGCCAATAAGCACTCAGAAT
The DNA here is from genome assembly GCF_000001405.40 of Homo sapiens. Lineage (NCBI taxonomy): Eukaryota > Metazoa > Chordata > Mammalia > Primates > Hominidae > Homo > Homo sapiens. The sequence goes on along the minus strand of NC_000001.11, from coordinate 236,801,004 downwards.
TTGATAGGCTTAAGCTAATAGTAGCAGGGTGTGAAAACCCAAGAAATCTGGGTTTTAGCCCCAGCTCCCCTTAGTAGCTATGGGATTTTAGACAAGTCCTCTCCATGCTTCAGCAAGATGAGGAAACATCAGCCCTGCCTTCATCATCAGAACTGTGATACTAAAATGAGACCATGTGTTAAGAACTGGACCTCTTAAGTCACACAAGTCATGAAATGAGACATTGGTGTTTGATGTATAGTAAACATCTGATAAATATTAGCTACTCTTATTATGTTGGTATTATAGCACAGCAAGGACTGAAGCTCTAAAGATTGTGTTCTATATATTACAAAGCTCAGTGGGCTGTGAAAAATCATGTAAAGCCTGAAGCTCTCAGTTGGTCATGTTGGGGCAGGAATGGCATATTTGCAGGTTGGGAAATGTCTTCTAACAGTCGAGTGAAAGAAGAAAATACTCAGTGAAAGCTGTTAAATGTAGATAATTTCACAGGAGGAATGAGAAGACTAAGAACTAAAGACTCTAACCTACATGCCCAGCTGAATCGCTTTCTTCTCAAAAGGATGTAGCTGCAATTCTCCCTGAAATGACATCACGTGAACTTAAGTGGGTGACTGAATCATAAGCCTAGTGTGAGCATGAGGTGTGGCAGTGGGGAAATAGGTCATGCACATGAAATTTCATATTTAAAAGGTATTCAAACTTCCTAGGGAGAAAAAGGCAATCTTTTCCACAGACAGTGAAGTATGTCCTTTGGCATCGGCAAAATGATTAATCAATATCAATCAATATCCTATTATTTACATGTCCTTCTTCCTATCTCCTCCACTGAGCGAGTGCACACAAGTTGAGCAAATCTAACCACTCAGAGTGCCTCCACCCCTCATTTTCATAAAAAGTCTTAGTACTTTTCCATGGGGCCCTTACTGTATTCCCTTTTCAATCCAGAAATAATAAGCTTTGTTTTTGGACTTTAAGACAGTTCACTATTTACCACAAAACAACCCAGCCCCACACATGCAAATTCTGGCATCTTGTTTGTTGAGCCACCGTATAGGCAAGAGATCAAAAGCTGTTTAAAAACATCTGCTTTGGTTTTTCAGAAACCTGACAAACTTATTGTATAATTTATTGGGAAGAACTTTATGACTTCGAATGAAAAGGAACTTCTTAAGACTCAAAAAGACCAACCTCTTAATTTAAAAAAAAAAAACACAATGAATTTGATTACATAAAAACCAAGGATTTCTGTTAAACGAAAGTCACCATAGACAAAAATAATAGACGATGGGTTGGGGGAGATTCTTCAATGTCTAAAGCTAATTTGTTTTCTTATTGATTTGTGTTAGTTCCTTGTACATTCCAGAATGTAATATACAATGTGAATTAAAAATACCTATAGACTAGAGTTTACAACAAAATGTATAAATATATGGATATATGTGAAAAAGGCGGTCTATGGAAACAAGAGAATTGTGAATAGAAAATACAGATAAAAAGGAATATATAATAAAACACAGGAATTTTGCAGCCTGAATAAAAAACTCCTATGCAACTGAGGCCCTTAAAAATCCATTACTTGGGCTGGGTGTGGTGGTTCACACTTGTAATCCCAACACTTTGGGAGACCAAAGTAGGTGGATCACTGAGTCCACGAGTTCGAAAACAGCCTGGGCAACACAGTGGCCTCATCTCTACAAAAAAAAAAAACAAAAATTAGCCAAGCCTGGTAGTATGCACCTGTAGTCCCAGCTACTAGTAAGGCTGAGGCAAGAAAACTGCTTGAGCCTGGGAAGTCGAGGCTGCAGTGAACCGTGATCACGCCACTGCCCTCAGCTTGGGCAACAGAGTGAGACTGTCTCAAGAAAAAGGGGGAAAAAAAAAAACATAGTTTCCTCAACTACTTGCTTATTTTTCCTTTAGAGGATAATGTAAGATTTCCCATTTAGAGAAACTAAGAAGTCTTCCTTCAGAAAATCTGTTGGTATTAAGTGTTCACTATTTTTAGCCTTCTGTATTCCTCCAGTTTTTCCAGTAGGAGGTCATTTTTCACTGGGCTTTAATTACCATTCTAATTCACCAGTTTCCAATTACTATCAGAACTTGCTCAAAAGAATAAGTCACCTTGACAATTCCTTCCCCTGGCAGAGTGGGGATCTACTGAAATGTCACTCTTCCATGAAGAACAACAAAATTGTATTTATCTGTATTCAGTTCATTAGGTCTAGAACATTCTGTATACTTAACTACTGACTAGTCAAGTTCTAAATAAAGCAGATTCTTTCTGATTATCTTTCACAGTAAATATAAGAATATAGTTTTGCAGTTCCTTTACTTAGCTGACTAGTTATAACACTATTTCAGAAATATTTTTATGTTTAATGTATATATGTAAATAACCGCAGTGCAGAGGAGAGTCCCAAGGAACATCCTTGGCTAGTGAGCCTAAGAGATCACACAGTATTTTCTCCAGTTTTGAGTGGATTTAGCCAATATATTTTGTGGGGTTTTTTTCCGTGCCCTTAACATCTTATTTTCTAGCTAACAATATTCTGATTCACAGCAAGTGTTCCAAAGAATAAACATAGGTATAAGTGGTTAAAGCCCTAGTCAGATTTGGAGGGGGGTAGACCAGCTAGTACCACCTTTAAGAACTAGCCTAAAGAATGACAAGATGAAGGCCTAAACAAATAAATTCCTAATATGTGCATGTAAGTTATAAATTGCAGTGTCAAGAACACATCTGCTCTGAAGGTAAAATGACCCCAAATAGATCTGACTTACTTAGGACCCCTCTTTCCACTGTGCTAAATGGGGAACACATACAGCAAAAGCACATTTTTATTTTCTGCATTATAATCAAATGATCCCAAGGCTTTCTCAGCACTGTTCTTTCTTTGCTTTATTAAAAACAATCTTACTACTGCCCTACAAGTCACTTGCAAGATACTTCTCTCTTTCATTTTTGGATCTCTAATTTCTAGTTTGCACAGACTTGCTACACTTTGTTTTTTTGGTTTTGTTTTGTTTTGTTTTGTTTTTTTTTGGAGACTAAGTCTCACTCTCTCACCCAGGATGGAGTGCAGTGGCATGATCTCGGCTCACTGCAACCTCAGCCTCCAGGGTTCAAGCGATTCTCCTGCCTCAGCCTCCTGAGTAGCTGGGGTTATAGGCGCTCACTATAAACCCAGCTAATTTTTGTATTTTTAGTACAGATGGGGTTTCACCATGTTGGCCAGGCTGGTCTCGAACTCCTGACCTCAGGTGACCCGCACGCCTCGGCCTCCCAAAGTGCTGGGATTACAGATATGAGCCACCGCGCCCAGCTTCTTTGGGGGCATCTCTTTGCTTGTGCAGTATTCCATTTTTAATATATATTATTTCCCCCTTTGATTTTAATAAGCCGGAGAAGAATTAGGCTGATACCAATTCACTGGATTATTCATTCCTTCATTAATCACTCATCAATTGATACCAATTCACTGGATTATTCATTCCTTCATTAATCACTCATCAATTGAGTTCCAAATAACACTCACAGTCCTAAGCAAGGATGAAACCAAGAAACTTTTAGAAGCTGTAGTTAAAATTTTCTCCCAAGATGTATTTGCTAGCCCACCATCCTCCTTCCCCAGGGCACACAACCATGGTCTGAAGTCACATTTAGTTTTAAGGCCCAACCTTGAGAATCAGGAATTCCCAGCTCTCCATTAAAATTTCATTAAGATTGTACGCCAGTAAATTACTAAGGGTTATTAGGAAGTTAAAACCTGATTCTAATCCCAATAAAAGTTGCTCACATAGACAGAAGCTGGACTACATCTAAGGTCTTTTCTAGGCACAATGGCCTGATTCAGAACTTCAGAGGCCCTAGACTTGGTTAAACTCCACTCAGTGCTCAACTCTAGAAGCCAGCCTTGGGGGTGAGGGGACTAGGCAAGATTCAAACATTCAACAATTTTCCTTTCAGTTTATTTTTTTTTTTTAAATCACTCACTATTCACAGTATTTTAAGTCTTCAGTGGCATTTTGCTCCTGATAATGACACCTAAATTCAGATGAAAGGGAAATAACTTTACTTGTTTAAATTAAATGGGAAGGGGGAGGCCAGAAATCATGAGTAAAAGATGTTTTCCAAATAAATATGATCTCCCTATGATCATTTATTCAATAAGATATAAATCTCTTATAGGGAGGTTTACATTTATTAATTAAATATTAAATATAAATAAGATGTAACCTCATTACATCTTATTTAATATATTAAATAACATATAAACCTCTCATAGGGAGGTTTATATCTTATTTAATAACAGCAGTGATGTGTTTCTCAGCCACAGTTCCACTAGTTTCAAGAACAATTATATCAGTCCCGTTATCAGAACCCAAGAATCAAGAGAGTCACCGGTTAACCTCTGATAAATTTCCTTGTGCGTTACGAATTTAGTATTCCCCCTCTTCCTGAAGCTAAACATCCCCACTATGTGATAGGATATTTACTGTTTTGTACTTATCACTAATTCTCGTTTCTACATCTCCTCACCCGTTTTTACGGGTGTATTTGTCCTCAAATTATAATCAGGCATGACCTTAGAGATCTAGAGCTCGTTATAAAGCTAACATTACGTTCAGTTCTCGTGCTAAACTAGCTTTTTCTCACTGTTGATCCCAGGGCCACCAACATCAGAATCGCTTGAAATTACTACCTCCCATTTCGGTATCTGGAGGTGGGGTCTGCTCATCTATTTTAACATAGTGAGTCTATGCATATTGCAGTTTTGCAGCAGCGTGCGTAGAAGCAGAAAATAAAAAGTTCCATGTAGTAGTTTTAAATAGTTCTCTGAGTTTCCTCGTCTGTCTCTCCGCGCCTGAACTTTCTTTCGCAGTAGGTGCGCAATACATATTTACGAATAAGCGTCACACCATGCAAAAAAAAAAACTTCCAGAGGGCCCAGCTGGTTTATGCTGCGTGGAACTGGAAAGTTTAGTTACTGTGACGTTAAGAATGTGTTTCGGGGGCGAGGGGAGGACGCTTTTTGCAGGTTTTGATGGCTTGCCTGGGGAGAAAGAGGTGAAGGTCGGACAAAGAGTGGAGCAAAACACGTAGCCCTCCGGGCTCCTGCGCTAAGTTCTAAAGGTGCCGCCCACACGCGGGGAAACACCGCCGGGCGTCTCCCGCCGCAGAAGGGAATCGCCCCAGGGATTAGGAGGCCACAGCACGAGTTAAGAAACACAACCCAACCACGCAGACGGGGTCGCAGCGTTACCGGGTTGCGACAGGTCTTGGAGCGCGGGTGACATGTTGTCGAGTCTCCTCCTTGCGCAGAGGGCGCGGCAGAGAAGACGTGCTCTCCACAGGTGACGACGGCCAAGGGCCACGCCAGCCAGCGCCAGGCGAGCCTGCCACACAAGGCCCGGGTCTTTTGACGCCTCCCGTTGGCTCGCGTCGCGGGGGGACTGCGGACCCCGAAAGCCCGCAGCGCCCTAGGGCCTCTCTCGGGGCTGGGCGCGGCAACTGCTGGAGCACGTGCTTTCTTCCCGGGTACCCGGCCAGTCCTTGGTGTCGGCCTAGCAGCCAGACACGCGCGGCCAGAGGCGGAGTCGCGGGACGGCACGGAAAAGGACCCAAGAGAAAACCGGCAGAGGAGGACGACGTGACATCCGGCTCTGAGCCCCGCAGACATTTAGAACCTTTCAGAGCGCGGTTAGTTCTGCGCTCAATCTATCCTCGGCGTGGGAGGTCCCGCCCCTTCCGGCCTGTGATTGGTCTGCCCGAGCTCCTCGCAGCCGCATTGGCTGTCAATATCAACCAATCACCTGCTGTTTAGCCCCGGGGCTCTCTGGGAGATGTAGTCCCGCTCCCCAGTTTCCCGCGGGAGCTTTTCGCGTCTCTGTGTGCCCAGGATCCGGAAGTGTAAGCCTAAGTGGCCCCTCTAAGGAAAAGTCACAGCGCCAAGTTCGTGCTGATCTCGACACGCTGTGTGGTGTCGAGCCTGAAATTTTAGTTCCGTTTTGCTGTTGACTTGCGCTGGGCAAGACAGTTAACCTCTCAGTCTCCACACTCTACAAACAAGAATGATAGGATGGTAGTAATTAGAATTTTTTAGGGTTGTAGTAGGCGTTAAATGAGATCGTTTGACCGCGCTATGAAAACTCTGAATTACCATATGGGGGTGTTAATTGTAACTTATTGACAGTAAACATATATTGAGCACCTACTATGTGTCAGGCATTGGGGCACACACTTGGAATGCAAAATCAGACAAGCTACATCGCACCCTCACGTCCTTGGAGGAGGAACTCACAACCTAGTTAGATTAATAATTGAACAGGGAAAAAAGAACCACATACATTTTAAAAGAGCTAGAGTATTCAAAGGGGCCAGGGAAAGGTTTCAAAGAAGAATCTGGGTCCTGAAGGAAGAGTGGTACCAGGTAAGGTTGTTCCAGTCAGGAGAAGCTCCCTGTGTACAACACAGCACTTTAGGGAATTCTAAAATAAAGGGCAGCTCTGTAAGGCCGAGCATGGTAGATGTGAGAAAAAGCAAATTCATCTAGAAAAATCTCTGTAAGGCTGAGCATGGTAGATGTAAGGAAAAGCAAATGCATCCAGAAAAATAAAAACTATAACCAAATTATGACATTTACTAAGCTTTAAAAAAGGCACAAATTTGCATGCCATTCTCATTTTATTGTATGTAATTATACCTCAATTTTGAAGATTTGAAAAATTATTATAATGCGTATCACATTCTTACCAAGACCATCTTACCAAAGATGGTCTTACTTGGAAGGTGGGGGGAATGGAGTAGGTGAGAGAGAATGCAACAAAGAAGGGAGGGAGGAATGAGATGGCCCTAAATAGCCAAAAATCTTAAGATTATAAGGGCTAGGGTGAGAGTAGGTGAGGGATAAACGACTACACATTGGGTGCAGTGTCCACTGCCTAGGTGATGGGTGCACCAAACTCTCAAATCACCACTAAAGAACTTATTCATGTAACCAAACACCACCTGCTCCCCAAAAACCTATTGAAATAAATAAGTTAAAAAAAAAGAAGAAGAAAAGGAGGAAAGAAAAAAAAGCAAGGTCTTCTATGCTGAACTTATTAAATTATTTATCCAGGCTTGATAAATCATGATGGTTTTCTCATATTTATTATTATGTTTATTCATTTCTCAACTCCTGAGTTTTTATCTGCAAAAAAAGAAGTAGTGAAATTTAACTGTGTAAAGATGCACCTGTCTAAAAAAAAAAAAAAAAGATTATAAGGGCTAGTTGTTTGTTTGTTTGAGACGGAGTCTCACTCTGTCGCACAGTCTGGAGCGCACTGGCACGATCTTGGCTCAGCTCACTGCAACCTCCGCCTCCCGGGTTGAAGCTAGTTTTTTAATTATCATGTATCCCTCAAAGTTTGTTGACGTGTTTCTTGAAAAATGATCTTTCAGGCACCTAGTCGGCAACTGTCCCCCATTCACATTCTCTTACTGGAAATTCCAGGAGTTGTGTGCCAGTCCCTGTTTGATGCAAGTCATCAAAGTTTACTCTCTCAGCTAAAACTGACCAAATTCTGTATTTCTTAAAGTCGTAAAAGAGTAACAAATAAGATTAGAGGAATACATAGTGCCTAAAGGGGCAGTGAATTTCTAGTACAAAAACGCGATTTACAGTTCCAAGAATACTGTATGGGTTGCAATGTGTCCCCCTCAAAGATATGTTGAAGCCCTAACTTCCAGTGCTTCAGAATATGACCCTATTTGGGCCGGGTGCAGTGGCTCACACCCGCAATCCCAGCACTTTGGGAGGCCGAGACTGGTGGATCGCTTGAGGCCAGGAGTTCGAGACCAGCCTGGGCAATATGGTGAAACCCCATCTCTGCTAAAAATACAAAAATTAACCAGGCGTGGTGGCTCACATCTGTAATCCCAGCACTTTGGGAGGCTGAGGTGGGCGGATCACCTGAGGTCGGGTGTTCGAGACCAGCCTGCCCAACATGGAGAAACGCCGTCTCTACTAAAAATACAAAATTAGCCGGGTGTGGTGGTGCATGCCTGTAATCCCAGCTATTCGAGAGGCCGAGGCAGGAGAATCACTTGAACCCGGGAGGGGGAGGTTGCAGTGAACCGAGATTGTGCCATTGCACTCCAGCCTGGGCAACAAGAGTGAAACTCCGTCTCAAAAAAAAAGAAAGAAAAAAAGAAAAGAAAAAGAAAAACACAAAAATTAGCCGAGTGTGGTGGCACATGCCTGTAATCCCAGCTACTGGAGGCAGAGGTGGGAGAATCGCTTGAACCTGGCAGGGTGAAGGTTGCAGTGAGTGGAGATTGAGCCACTACACTCCAGCCTGGGCAACAGAGAGATACTCAGACTCAAAAAAAAAAAAAAAAAAAAAAAGAATATGACCTTAATGACCCTATTTGGAAATAGGTTTGTTGCAGGTTAGTTTAGTTATGAGATCATCATCCAGCGTAGCTGGTGTCCTTATGAGAAGGGGAGATACACGAGGAGAAAAGAGCCACTTGCCAACAAAGGTGGAGACTGGAGGGAAGCACCTGCAAACCAGGGAACTCCAAGGATTGCCAGCAGACATCCAAATCTAGAAGAGACAAGAAAGGGTTCTCCCTTGTAGGTTTCAGAAAAAGCATTACTCTGCCTACACCTCAATTTGGGACCTCTTGCTTCCAGAACTGTCAGGTAATAAATTTCTGTTGTTTTAAGCCACTCAGTTTTTGTACTTCCTCGGAAACTCTAAAGCAATCCTTGGAAACTAATACAACTATATCTGTGGATGGGCTGGGACTAACGAGGGTCTCTATCTCTGTAGGAGAGAACCTGCTATTTTAAGTTGGTGATAGCCTGCTAGCCTGCTTTTTTCCCCCTCATTAAGCTCATTCTCATTAAACTCATCCAACACAAACCCATTGTTTAGAGGTTAGGGTCCAAACAACCTCTTGGTGATTTGGGACTTCTTTCCCTGTGGATTTGTCTTCATAGATAGAAGTGGAGATCAGTGAACCTAAATATCCAACTCCTACTGTATAGCAGTAGCAAATTGACATTCCAGCTTTATGCATTATTCTCTGGTCTTGGTGGTTGTGTCAAACCCATTAGGTGGCTCTTTGTGTCCTGCTAGTCAAGAGTCTTGCAAATATAAACTATGGGCCAGATCTGGAACAAGGATGTACTACTTCTGGAGTCTACTGGGGTGACCATGGGTTTTCCCCCAGAAGATCCCTGTCACAAAGGTGAGCCCCGCTATTTCCTTCCCTCAAATCCCTTCATAGTGTTGTTGACAAAAAGAGTCAAACTCTGTAAAATATTTGAAGAGATTCATTAAGAGCCAAATATGAGTGACCATGGCCCATGACACAGCCCTCAGGAGGTCCTGAGAACAGGTGCCCAAGGTGGTTGAGGTGCAGCTTAGTTTTGTACATTTTAGGGAGACATGAGACTTCAATCAAATACATTTAAGAAGTACATTGGTTCGGTTCACAATTTAAGAAATACATTGGTTCAGTTCAGAAACACGGAACAACTTGAAGCCAGGCACAGGGTGGGGGTGGGGGGCCCTCCAGGTTATATGCAGATTTAAAAATTTTCTGGTTGACAATTGGTTGAGTTTATCTAAAGACCTGGGATCAATAGAAAGCAAATGTCTGGGTTAAAGGATTGTGAAGACCAAAGTTCTTATTGTGCAGAGGAAGCCTTCAGGTAGCAGGCTACGGAGAGAATAGATTGTAAATGCCTCTTATCAGACTTAAGGTCTGTGTTGATGTTAATGCCGGAGAGGTATAATGAGGCATGGCCCAGACCCTCACTTTTGTTCATGGTCTGAACCAGTCTTTTAGGTTACTTTTTTTTTTTTAGATGGAGTCTTGCTCTGTCGCCAGGCTGGAGTGCAGTGGCGTGATCTCCGCTCACTGCAACCTCCGACTCCCTGGTTCAAGTGATTCTCCTGCCTCAGCCTCCCTAGTAGCTGGGATTAAACAGGCATGTGCCACCATGCCCAGCTAATTTTTGTATTTTTAGTAGAGATGGGGTTTCACCATGTTGGCCAGGTTGGTCTCGAACTCCTGACCTCAGGTGATCTGCCTGCCTCGGCCTCCCAAAGTGCTGGGATTACAGGCGTGAGCCACCACACCCGGCCTCAGGTTACATTTTAAGAGTACCCTGGCTGAGCGGGAAGTCCATTCAGATGGTTGAGGGGCCTTATCACATAGGTCAACAACCGTTATGATTACCCATATGGATTGTACTAAATGAGCTGAATTTTGAATCTGTGGGATATGGCCCTGGCACCAGGTACAAGGTAAAAAGGAATGTCATTTTATTATAACCAATAGCCCTGGAAGGTCTCGCTCTCCCTTTCTTCCTGCACTGAGGTAGAGATTTGCTGTCTCTCTCTGTAAGACTTGACACTGGAGGGTATCAATTGGCTGAATTTGTGCCACCTGTTCCAGGGACTCTAGAAGGTTTTTTTTTTTTTTAAACTTCACCTGGACAGAAGCATTCTTAATTATCCAAAGACAGTTCATCTTTTACCTAGCTAACTATGCTAGCACCTAAATGTAGACAGGACTAAAATTAAATGCAAAAATGGGTTTTAGCTTACACATACTGTCAGATGAATTTCTAAGTTCTTATGTACAATCTCATATTTAATCTTCACCCTATAACATAGGGTTCATATTGTGAAAGGAAAATAAATCTTGGAGTCAAGTGCAGATTATACACCTGTAATCCCAGCACTTCAGGAGGCCGAGATGGGTGGATCACTTAAGGTCAGAAGTTCGAGACCAGCCTGGCCAACATAGTGAAACCCC